>NC_000009.12:38191818-38343333 GCF_000001405.40 Homo sapiens
TTGGCCTTAACTGTATCCTCTGGCTGCTGCTGGCTGCGGTGGAGCCTGGGCACATTGTCAACTCCTGGAAAACCAGGAAGCAGGGGGAATCGTGATCAGGTTGGCTATGAGTAGTCTCTGCTACACTGCCTTCTCCTCCTACTCTCTCTGTGGCCGTGACCTTCTCCCAGCCTCCTTTCCCTTCTCCCCACATCTAGATCTTCCCTGCCACACCTCCATCTCAAGCTGGGAACCCCCATTTCTCTTACGTCACTTCCAGCCAGAGCTGCCATAGCCTGGATGAAGAGAGTGAGTGTGGGAAGTCCTAGGTGGCTCCTCAGTGCTCCCCAAGCCATGCCTCCAGGAACATGCCATTGTCCTTGGGCCCAGTGGTTGTCACAGCTAACTGGCATGAGCAGTGAGGTGGGGAGGGGAGAGGGACCAGATGCCACCTGCCCCCTTGCTCCTCCTCCATGCAGGCATGGAGGGTCATTGTCACCAACTGGTTGTAGACTGTTGTCCTCTGAAGAGCTGCCAGAAGGGTTTACTGCATTCCCCATAGATCAGAGAGCAACATTTTTCTCTGGGAAGATGCAGGCCCCACCAGACCCTGCACCACCACAGGGATCCCCCTCTGGGTGGCTCAATTAGTTTCCCCTCCTCTCTTAGACCCTGTCCCTTTCAAAGGTAATATAATCAAAGAAAGCAGATTTTTGAGAGACTGGCTCAAGGCTGGGAAGGAGAGATATACTCTCTTAACATAATCAGTTACTGGAGATATTTCAGCAAGAAGTTGTCTTTTGTAGGTTCAGAAGCATGATAGAGTTTTTCAGTATTTCACCTGAGGCCAGACCACAGTGATCCTCTCTCTCACCTCTCTACCCTTGGGACTTGGAGCGTCTGTCACTCGATCAAGCAGCAGGACTCAAGCAGGGTAAAGAGTGACTGATGGCTTATCCCAGAGGCTGGGGAAGAAGTGGGGCTCTCAGAGGAGCCTGGCATGGTGGGGGTGAGAGGGGGGCATCTGTGGGAGGTGGGCTTGGGGGTAACAGTATATGTCTGTCCTGCTGAGGTAGGAGCTAGGCCACTCTTTTCCCTGTGACTTCCTCTTTTCTGGGACCTGCCATCCTGGAGATGCACAGGCGGCAGTTGGCGGGGGGGCATGGGGGGTGGATGGTGGCCCTAGAAGTGAGTGTTCTTGTACATGCAGGTGCATGCTGCAGTTAACCCTCTTGTCTTCCTTGTGACTAGCCTCTGTTGACTGCATCTCTGGCTCTGAATTCACAGGTGTGAGGGCCAGGAACCCTAAAAGCACACCACTCTGAAAATGCAAACACAGAGTAGCACCCTAAGCTGCTCTGCGAGCCAAACATGCTGCAGCAAAACAAGCAACAGGGCACCTGCCAGCCAGGGCTGGCCCGCACTCACCACATCAGATCTACCAGGGCCACTGATGAAGATCAGTCAGGCAGAGGGACAAGCCCAGAGGGGCTGCGGACCCACAGGCCTTGGGGTAGGAGAGAAATGAGCTGGATGGAGAGGCAAAGGCAGGGGAAGACTTTTTTCCTGTGCCTTCCTGGCTTCCTCTCACACAAGGAGAAGCCAAAGAAAGTCTTGCTATTTCTGTAGGAAAATGATGTGGCGGGTACATGTGTATACATGTTCACGTATCTGGATAAGTCAGTATACACGTGTGTGTTTGTGAGTGCACAAGCATATTCATGCACACGTGTGCATATGTACACATGGGAGTACACAACTAATCTATGACAAATGTCATACAGGGTGGAGGACTCACATTATCCTTTTAGTTCAAGAGTTCGTGACTGGGGCCCATGAATGGGTGCCAGTGAATCCCCTGAGATTATGTGCCACAATTTTTGATGTACATTTTTCTAGAAGTGAAGCCTTGATTTTCCTCAGATGCCCCAAGCCCCAAAATGATTTTTCTGCCTATTCTGTGATAGGCAGAATAATAGCTCTCCACATCCTAAACCTCAGAACCTGTGAATATGTTACATTCCACGGCAAAGGAGAATGAAGGCTGCAGATGGAATTAAGGTTGCTAATCCTCTGGGCTTGAGAAGGAGAAGGTCTTGGAGTATCTAGGGGGACCCAATGGAATCACAAGGGTCATTATAAGTAAAAGAGGAGAGTCAGAGAGAGGTGATGTGCGGAAGACTCGCCGCCATTGCTGGCTTTCAAGATGGGAGGGAACCCCAAGCCAAGGAGTGTGGGTGGCTCTAGGAGCTGGAAAGTGCACGAAAATGGGGACCCAGCCCTACCGATGAAACCGCCTTTGCAAAATTATGACTGAGACAGAGAAAGAGATCTAAATTAATCGACTCCCTTTTGTTTCTAAACTCCAAGCTGTCCTTGTTCTTTCCTGGGCGCAGGCTGAACTAACTTTGGGAGAAACTCAGTTTATAGTTTATAGTTTAAAACAAAGACAATAACAACCCTTTCCCAAAGCAGACCTCCTTCTTGCCTGGGGACTAGACTGCCTTTGTAGGACTAACATTAGCCACGAGAAAGAGTAGGCTATAAGGGAAGATTGTCAATATTTTATGTGGTAAGAAAAGCTACAGTCATTTTTTCTTTGCACTTTGGATGCTGAAATTTTCCCATGGAACATAGCCACATCTAGATAGATGTGAGCTTTTTCTTCTGTTAAAATTATTCTTAATGTCTGTAAAAACGATTTTCTTCTGTAGAATGTTTGACTTCATATTGACCCTTATCTGTAAAACACCTATTTGGGATAATATTTGGAAAAAAAGTAAATAGCTTTTTCAAAATGAAAAAAAAAAAAAAGAAATTATGGTTTAGGAGTCATGCAACTGGAGGCTACAAGATTCTGACCCTCCCTAAACTGCCCCTAAGGTCAGTGCTTGAGATACTTCGCAAATGCTGCACTTGATGGATAGGGGGATGCCACCCAGATCAATAAACTGGCTCATTTGATCCTGTGGTCCCCCCACTCAGGAACTGACTCAGTGCAAAAAGCCAGCTTTGACTCCCTATGATTTCGTCTCTGACCAATCAGCACTCCTGGCTCACTGGCTTTCCCCAACCCACCAAATTGTCCTTAAAAACTCTGCTCCCTGAATGCTCGGGAGACTGACTTGAGTAATAATAAAACTCTGGTCTCCTGCACTGCAGCTCTGCATGAATTACTTGTTCTCTATTGCAATTTCCCTGTCTTGAGAAATGGGTTCCGGCCGTTACACTGACGCCTACATTTTAGCTCCATGAGATCCATTTTGGACATCTGACTCCAGTGCTGTAAGATAAGAAATCTGTGTTGTTTTAAGTTCCTCTTGTTAGAATAGGTAGTTAGGCAGACATGAGCAGGGCAGGAGATGCCCCACACACCCACCAGGAATGTCAGGTGATGATCAGATGACAGTCAGCTGGTTGTTACACTGTCTCTCTAAAATAATAATTGGTTGTAGCTGGTGCCAGGCAAAGGCAATCTCCCAATAGATAGAAAACACCTGAAGCTGGTGATCAGCCACTTCCCAATAATATCGGGCAAGTGGCTGGGTGCAGTGGCTCACGCCTGTAATCCCAGCACTTTGGCAGGTTGAGGTGGGTGGATCACCTGAGGTCAGGAGTTCGAGACCAGCCTGACCAACATGGTGAAACCCCATCTCTACTAAAATACAAAAATTAGCTGGGCATAGTGGCAGGCGCCTGTAGTCATAGCTAGTTAGGAGGCTGAGACAGGAGAATTGCTTGAACCTGGGAGGTGGAGGCTGCAGTGAGTCAAGATTTCGCCACTGCACTTCAGCCTGGGCGACGGATGGAGTGAGACTCTGTCTCAAAAAAAACACACAAAAAGATGAGGCAAGTGGCTCAAGCATGTGAACTAAGAGGCAAAATGGCAGAATTTAACTGGCATGTGACCTTCCTCTGAGAACTCTCAACTGGTAAGAGAAAAACACCTCAAGTGAGCATGTGTACAATTTTAGTAAACACACTGTGCATACGGCCCCTCCCAAATGCTGGCAGGCCACTGTGCATGTGAACAGCCTGCCCCAAGGGAAAATCAAGGGAGGAGAGATGCAACCGCCAGGAAGCATGACAACGTGTAAACAAGGTCAGAGGTCAAAGGTCAGACAGCCCACTTGGATTCCTCAAGTCACCCGCTTGGTTCTCTTCCAAGTGTACTTTACTTCCTTTTGTTCCTGCTCTAAAACATTTTTGTTTGTTTTTTAAGAGATAGATCTCGCTATGTTGACCATGCTGGTCTCTGGTCTCGTACTCCTGGCCTCAAGCGATGGTCCCATCTCAGCCTCCCAAAGTGCTGGGATTACAGGGATGAGCCACCACACCTGGCCTTCTGCTCTAAAACTTTTTAATAAACTCACTCCTGCTCAAAAACTTGCCTCCATCTCTCACTCAGCCTTATGCCCCTTGGACAAATTCTTTCCTTGAAAGAGGCTAAGAATCTGTAGTTGCTGCAGACCCATACAGATTCGAGGCTGTTAACACTCTGTGACAAGTTGTTGCAGCAGCCATAGGAAGCTAACCTGAGGACCATTTCTTTCCTTGTCACGCTTATAATGGGCAAAGAAAAGGACCCACACTGGGCTCAACCACCTGCCACATTCTGGACCCTGTGCTGGCTCCTCTACCTGCATGACTCCAGCAGGTAAGAAATGCTCTTCCCCTCTGAGCAGTAAGGAAACTGAATCTCAGATAGAGTAAGTGGCTTTTGTAAACTCACCCAGGTAGTAAGAGGGGGAGGTCTGTTCTGTGCCACATGGGGCAAGGGGTGAGTTTAGCAAAGGGCCAGTGTGGGGCAGAACAAGAACAGGACTGGAGTGAGGAGACCTACGTCCTAGTCATGGCTCCATACCAACTTGCTGTGGGACTTCAGGCAAGCTACCACCCTCTCTGGGCCTCAGTTTCCCCATCATTAAAGTGAGAGAATTGTACTAGGGTACTTTCAGTCCTGATGATCAGTGACTCTAAGGCAATATATATACATATTTAAACTCAACGGGGTGTTTAAGACTCCTGGCACAACAAAGAAGGAAGGAAACTCTGCCCTCTCTTACCCCTCCTCCGCTTCTCAGCCTTCATGCCAGATTTTTTTCGCCTGGGGGCCAAATAGTTGGGAGGAGGCCCAACTGTGTCTGAGATTGCTGAGGGAGAAGTAGGTTGAGTAGTTAGGGAGGACATACATTTTTAAGAAATTATCTTCTTGTTTTTGAGACAAGGTCTTGCTCTATCACCCAGGCTGGAGTGTGGTGGCATGATCATAGCTCACTGCAGCCTCAACTCCTAGGCTCAAGCAATCTTGCTGCCTGAGCCTCCCAAGTAGCTGGAGTAGCTGGGATGATAGTGAACACCACTATGTCTAGCTTTTTTTTTTTTTTTTTTTAACTTTAAAGTGGAGACAAAGTCTTGCTATGTTGCCCAAGCTGGTCTGGAACTCCTCAACTCAAGCAGACATACAATTAGATCCAGGAGAGATGGTGCAGGGGAAGCAAAGACCCTGGGGAGACATCCTTAAGGTTCCACCTTGGGTGGTTCTGGCTCTGTGGGGGTGACAGGCAGGCTCGTTTTCACTGGCAGAGTCGTGTACCCAGGAAATGACCTGATTCCTTTCTAATACTTGCTCCACGGGGTCTGGTCAGTCTTCACAGCACCAGGCAGACAAAGGGCCTGGAAGTAGAGGCAGGAGGTCCCAGATCTACCGACCTGCCAAGTCACAGCCTCTCTGGGCTGCTGGAGAATCTGTAAGCAAGACCGAATTGTAAAAGTAAAGCACAGCACAGCTTTGAGACCCAGAAGCCGTTGCTGTGAACTTACTGTTTTTGAGCTGCATTCTGGAGAATTGCAGCTCCAAGTTTATTTTACCCATTATGTATCAAAGAAGACCCCATATAGTTAATGTTGCCATCCGCCCTTGGACCCGGGTCTCATGTTTAGACCCTGGCATGGGCTGCTGCCTGGCAGTCGTCTCGTGCCCTGGGGGCTTGTTAGACTTGTGGGAGCTCCCAATCCGTGTGCACACTGATGTGTGACAGCTTGACTGTAGAGGGCCCAGCTGTGCCCTCCCCACAGGGCAGAGGGCCGACCCAGAGCCCACACTCTCTGGACCTCACTCCTGTACTCTCCACCCTGGGATTTCCTGCTCAAAGGGACCAAGCCTGCTTCCAGGACCTGTATTGGCCTCTTCCCCCAAGCCATGGTGCCCCAACCCCAAGGGATGGCCAAAGAGTGACTGGGGGAGTTGGCAAGGGGCTGTTGCGGGTGTGGGGTGGAGCTTGGACGTGAGGGCTTGAAGGTCCTTGCTTGTGTGCACGAGACTCCTCACATTGCAGGATGGAGTTGTGGGGAGGGTGGAAAGAGAAGAGTACAGACACTGTCGGCTACAAGCGTTCTCTTTTACTTGTCCTGGGTCCTAAAATTGTCAGAGTGGCCTATGCGATTTTATAAAATAATTTTTCTAGGTCTGTGGGAATCTACAATTCCACTGTTAAGGTGAGAGAGGGATAATTAGAAAGTTTTCTTAGAGGAGGGGCATTGGAGCTGGGTTTTGACAGATGCGTAGTAGTTCAGTAGTAGAAACAGAGGGAATTAAAACTATGTAAACAAAAATATGGCAGAAGGGAAGTGAGGTATTTGTGGGAAAAGATGTGCTTTTTGCTACAGTCTCCACAGTTTGGGATCAGATCACGAGGGTCTTGAATTCCAGATGGGGGGTTTGGTGGGAGGGAGCCCTCGAGGGTTATGAGCAGGGAAGCTGCAAGGTAAGGACAGCACTTGAGGAGGAGTTGTCAGATGGAGGCGTGGAGAGTAAGTTGGAGGAGAGGCTTCCATGTGGAGACCAGTGTTTGACCTGAATTGAAGCAGAAACAGTGGAAACTAGAAGCAGAAGTGGATTCGAGAGACATCTGGTAGATGTCTGCTTGGCCTTGGTGATCAATTTGTTGGTGACAGAATGGAGTGAGAAAAGAGATGCTGTGGACAGAGGTGCCTTCACAGTGGTGGGAGATGCTGAGGCTAAGGTGCCGAGAGGCACCAGCTGGGGAACTGTAGAGAGACCCAGCTGGAGATAGACTTGCAAGCCATCAGCAGACATAAGCCTAGAGATCATCAACAAAGGACTGGGCTGGGAGCGGTGGCTCACTCCTGTAACCCCAGCACTTTGAGAGGCTGAGGTTGGTGGATCACCTGAGGTCAGAACTTTGAGACCACCCTGGCCAACATGGTGAAAGCTCGTCTCTACTAAAATACAAAAATTAGCCAGGCGTGGTGGCACGCGCCTGTAGTCCCAGCTACTCGGGAGGCTGAGGCTGGAGAATTGCTGCAACCCAGGCAAAGGTTGCAGTAAGCTGAGATCGTGCCACTGCACTCCAGTCTGGATGACAGTGAGGCTCCATCTCAAAAAAAAAAAAAAAAAAGGACTGATCCCACTTGTATCAGGACACTAAAGGGGCTTTTAGTGACACCATGACTGTCTTTGCCTACCTGGGGAGGATACCAGACTGGTCACAGGGTCTCCTGAGGAGGGGGCTTGGGATAGGGTGACTTGGAGGCAGAGGTGCAGTTAACACCCTTGCTGACCTCTAGAAACTATCAGGACTCTTTTAGCTGTAAGTCACTGGAAACCAGACCCAAAGTCAATGTATTGGCTCTCATATCCCTGCACTGTCAAACTTCAGGATTAACTTGATATAGGCGCTCAAGTAATGTCAGGATGCACCTCTGTTTCTGTCTCTCAGTTCCTCCTCCTCAAGGTTGACTCATTTTCAGACAGGCTTTTCCCTTTTGGTCACAAAATGGCTTTTAGCAGTCCCTAAGCCTGTGTCTTTTTACGTTCAGACCCTGCAGAAAAGGATAGAAATCTTTGCCTAGCATTTTCCAGCAGAAATTCTGATGTTTGCTATTGGACCACCTTACGTTAAGGTGTCACTTAAACCCCATCACCATGGCCCAAGAAGTACAATGTCCACTGCTAGGCCAGAGAGTAGAAAAGTGCCCAGAACAACTAGACTAAGAGTGAGGTGCTGGACCCCATAGGAAGATCCTGGTTGTGCCTTGTGAGGAGCTAATATTATGGAGGCAAAAAATAAACATTCACTCTATCTTCCTTTTCCAAGAGTGTTCTCTATAAAAAGGAAAGAAGGGAACTTTCCAACAGCTTAAGGCAAGTTTGTAGTGAAAAATGATAAATTCACATTTATTTTTTTAAAGGAACACATATGATATAGGACTTTAAAATGTTTATTAAAAAGGAAGTGAGAAAGCTCACTGAGTGTGCAGAAATATGCCTGCATCTCAAACTATGAACCAGCATTTATATCCAAGCTTCCTGGTGGCCAAGGCAAAGAGAAACCTTACTAACAGAGCTCTTGTTGGTTGAAAGAAACAGATGCACCGAGCACTAATTCTGCGTCCGAGTAAGAGCTATCACATATCAAAATGAAAATGCCATTGTTGTGGTTTTTATGGAAGATACTAAAATATTGTCCTTCTTACAGACTTCCTCCTGCTAAGTGGAAAACATAGCTTGGTTCAGTTGAGGAAGAAAACATTTTGCAGTCCCACACCTGCTTTTGCTGATTTATTCAGATTCCTTGCTAAGAGAATCAGGGGGATGACTGGATGATCACCAGGTCCCCAGAGCTTCTTGGAACACAGAGGGGTTCTCTGTCGGTGACTTGTGCAAGGGAGAGGTCTCGTTAGTAATCAGTCAAGCAGTAGTGAGAGCAAGTGCAGGGAGCCTGCATTGATTTCTAACACATCAGACAAAATGGCGCCCAGCAGCTAGCGTTTGCAGCCTGGGAGAGGCTTGCCAAATTGGATTAGCGAACCAAATGTCTGCTCTATGGCTGAGAGACAGGCGAGGCGCTTATTAAATAGTCCACAGGCAGGGATGTTTCGAGTACTTAATCAACTCTTCATTTCCCTCCTCCAGGGAACAGGGAAGTCTCAGTGCCACCCACGGTGAAAAATTACCAATCCCTGCAGGATCTCTCTTTGCCATTTTCACTGCAGTATGTGCACAAATCATAGGAAAGATCCAAGGAAGACAGTGCAAGAATATTTGGCCATGGGGCACTGGAGACTGCATAAGTCTGCAGGCAGGAGGCCAGGGTGCTTGCAAGTCCTGCCTCCCACCTGCTCACTGTGAAACCCCGGCTCAGTCCGTTCCCTTCTCCAGGACCCTTCAAGGTTCTCCCTGCTCAGACAGACTAGAAACAGTTCTCTGGAGATGCTTCCTTAACAGAGGCAGCAGCCAAAGCGGCTTATGCAGCCAGTGGCTTTTCCTAAGGACCTGCTCTGTGTGCAGGATCCTTTGTGTGTGTGGTGGGGGAGACAGGCCGGTGCCTCCCTATTTTCTCTTTATGGCTTTAATTCAGCCTCTCCACCTCTACCTCCTGCCTCCAGGGTGGAAAGCTCCCTTCTATCCTCTCATCAGCTTCCTTTCCTCTTTTCTCACTTGAGAAAATTTAATTTTAGAGCCAGAGAGTACCAAAGAGGCCTTTGGAGCTGGCCTCTGTTACAGTCTTTGAGGCTCTTTCTTGCACCGTTTGGCAAACTGAGGCCCAGACACAGGAAGGGCCTTGCCCAAGGTCCTATGATGAGTTTGCAGTGAAGCCAGGGCTGATCTTCCCCAGTGCACTTGCTTCCCTCTCCTTGAGGAACAGGAAGAGCCTGGGCCAATTGAGGTCAAAGTCACAGTGTTAATAGGAGTGATGGGCTTTCATACAAAGCCTAACATGGGATCCTTCCCGGACAATCCCCCGTTTTTCCTTCTATGAGAAAGGTGGGCTTAATCAAGGATGGCATCCTTGGACAAGAAAAGTGGGGAACAAGGGAGGCACAATGCCATCTAAAAAGCAACCCTGGGAGAGATTGTACCAAAGAATAGAGAGGAATGTACATTCCCTTTGCAGGATTCTGTGTGCAAAGGGTGTGTTTTCTCCCAGGAGTGTTTCCTATAATTAGAGCAAGCTGCCCACCCCCTCCCCCCACAGCAGCAGAGGGCTGCATGATGAGAACTGGTGGATCTAGTTCACTTGGAGGAGGCATCACAAGGGTTTTCCATACCACTCCTTATTAAGACAGCCAAGGATAAACATTAAAGCAAGGAAGATAAAGTCCTTGGAAAAAACCCAAACAAACAAATCTGCAAACGTTTTGTGAAGATTTGGGACCCTGTCACTTTAATCCTTCTATGATCCATCAATGCTGATTCTAATCCGGATCTTATCACCACACTTCAGTAGAATGCTTCTTTCAAGCTGGACAGAGCATTCTTTTTTTCAGGTTCCAGCATTTCTACCTTTGATGTTCCTGCTAACTGGGGCCCTCACTGATGAGATGCCGGGTGCAGCTTCCACTTGGGAACCTCTCTGACTCCACCAGGATGAGAAACAAAGAGTTGGAGAGGAGAATGGAGGCAGGTTTCCCCTCAGGCTCTGGCTGCTTCTCCTCCTGCATCAGAAGATCAAAGGGAGGGAAGAGTGAGGCCTCAGCGGGGGTGGGGGTGGGGGTGGGGGTGGGGTGGGGTGGGGTGGCCCTGCTCTGTGTGCTTCCCGGTAGGAGCCAATTTCTTCCCTAATTTATTGACCACCCTGACTCTTTCCTCATCTTTCTGATTAATAGTTTAGTTGGGGGTGCTAGGAAATTTACCTCCAGTTGTTACCATAGCAACCAGCTCTCTTGTACAGGATCCCATAGACAATGCATTTTGGGTCTTCGGCAGGAGCTGGGATTTACGAGGATCTCAGCATGTACCAGGGCAGAATGGGCAAGATGATGTTCCACTGATATGCTTAAGAATTATGCGTGGGGATAGGAAATGGTCTTGCCACACGGTAAATTGGGAAGGATGGTTTTAGTGCCTTTCCTTTCCTCTTGGCTTTGTCTCTCTCTTACAAGAGACCCCTCCCCCACAACATTCTCTCTTAGGTCCTCGGAAAACTAGTTCCTCACAGGACAAAGGCAGGGCCAGTTTGGTGGAAGTCACGGGGAGGCTCATTCCCTTTCAGCAAAAGGAAGAATTTGTAGTGGGTAGAACCAGCTGAAGATACAGTTGGCAGTCTTGGGAAGTAGTGATCCCTGGAGGTGTGTGAACAGGGGCCTGTCAGGGGCTCTAGAAAATATTGTATAGAGGACCGAGTGAGGGGTGGCATGTGTGGAACCTCTGGGTCCTTTTCATCCCTGGGAAGGGAGTTGCACTGTACCTGCTTGTGAGGCCAGCTCTCACCTCTCCCAACTAAGCAGAATATCAGATTTGGACATTTCAGTTCCCTGGGCCCCTGGGATGTCTTTGGTGTCCTCATAAACTCAATACCCAGTACACTGCCTGGCCCTTGGGTGAATGAATAAATTCCTTAGGCCTTTATTAAGTGTGTGGACACAACTTACTAACTGTTTATGTGTTCTTTTATTATGATAATAAAAATATACATTTCAAAGCATTGTCATATAACAACTGGAACTGGAAATGGAAAAAAATTTTGTTGCTTTTAAAACCCTATCCCAGGTGCTGGACTCATTCCCTTATTACAGTTGAGGCATAAAAGTGTTTGTCTTCCACAAACCATGTGGAAATGGTGGGGAGGAACTGAAAGCTCTCCTTGGACAAACCCCTTAACCTCCCTGTGCCTCCATTTTCTCATCTATGAAATGGGGGTAATGGAAACCATCAGGAATGATCAATTGGCTTTCACTTATGAGCTGAATGTGCTTGATGGGGAGATGCTTGGCTAAAAAGTGTGTAGCAATAGATTAACAACATCTGCCCTGGACACCAGATGTGGGGAGGATGGCACATGTGCCATATATTTGCCGTCCTTGGACCAGATGGTCTCAGAGAACCCTGATGGCTCTAGGTGCCAAGATGTGACGATTCTAGGCCACCTTAGTTGTTCTCTGCCTTCAAACCAACCTTCTTGGCCTTTCTTTACTCTCAAGCCTGTAAAATTATCAGGGAACTGACTTTGTTATTTCAAAACCTCATTACATTTTTCTTCTTCCTTCCTTCCTTCCTTCCTCCCTCCCTCTCTCTCTGTTTTTTCTCTTTCTTTCTTTCTTTCTTTTCTTCTTTCTTTCTGCTGGGGTCTTGCTCTGTCACCCAGGCTGGAGTGCAGTGGCGTGATCTCAGCTTACCGCAACCTCTGCCTCCTGGGTTCAAGCGATTCTCCTGCCTCAGCCTCCCAAATAGCTGGGATTATAAGTGTGTTCCACTATGCCTGGCTAATTTTTGTATTTTTAGTAGAGACGGGGTTTTGCCATGTTGGCAAGGCTGGTCTTGAGCTCCTGACCTCAGGTGATCCTCCTGCCTCAGCCTCCCAAAGTGCTGGGATTACAGGAGTGAGCCACTGTACCTGGCCGGAACCTCATTACATTTTTCTTTTCTCAACAGATTGACCTATGTAAAAGACCTCAGATTTGTCTAGAAGCAGGGAGATATCCAGGTTGGTTTGTAAATGATACAGATGGGAAATGCAGAATTTAGGCTCCAAGGAACACCTGGCCTGCAGCAGCTTGCATAAGAGCTATAGGCAAACAAGAGGCTGCTGAAATCTTTTGAAAAGACCTGCTGCAAGGAGTGGATGGAATGCATCCCACAGGGATTTATTCTGGGCACACAGCTGCACTCTAGGGCTGAGATTACTCTTTGGAAGCAAAAGACTGCATCCCTCAAGGGAGAGAGACCTGGCCGGGCCTTCTCAGGTACAACACTCTCTCCAGTATTTCCCCAATCTCTCCTCTAGCTCTGTCTGCTTCCACTCTCCCCACCCACCCCTGGCTACAGTCACGCTGGCCTCTGTACCATTCCCATGTCTGCCGCGTGCTTTCTTAACCCTATGCCTTTGCCAGTGCTATTCCAGCCACCTGTAATGATCTTCTCCACCCAGCAGACTCCTATTCATGTTCCAAGATTGAGCCACAGAGTAATCTCTGAGATGCCTTCTCAACCCTCTGAACCACATAGAGCCCTGCATCTCCTATCCCTTTCTCTACGTCTATACTGGCAATGTTGGTGAATCTCTACTTTTCTTGGTTCAGGGTAAGCCTGGACACAATGGAGTGAAACATCCCAGAATATAATCATTTTGTGACATAAAACAAAGATGGCTCAATTCTCTGATGAGAGCAGAGACTTGTTTCCATAAGAACCCTCTCTGGGAGCTCATTTCTCAGCTGAGGGCTGCTTGATGCTATAGGATGAATTCCTTTGGCTCATGCTCAGGCCTTTCATGGGGGCTGGGCTGAGGTCAGGCAATGGCCAGGTGGGCCCCATGGCTGGGCCTGACCTCATGAAAGAGCTTATATTTAATCTTTTGATGTTATCTCCTGTCTTTACCCATTTTTGTGTTGCTATAAAGGAATACCTGAGGCTTGGTAATTTATTTTAAAAAGAGGTTAATTTGGCTCATGGTTCTGCAGGATGTACAAGAAACATCGTGCTTCCTTCCCCCTCTCTGGTTTCCTCTCTAGCCAGGTGATATCTGCACACTCAGGCTCCCCTCTACCTTCTGCCATGAGAAAACCTGAAGCCCTCACCAGAAGCAGATGCTGCTGCCCTGTGTGGGCAGAGATCACATGGTGGGGCAGGAGGTACCAGTCTCTTTTTAACAACCAGTTCTCCAGGAAACTAATACAGCAAGAACTCACTCATTACCATGAGGATGGCACCAAGTCATTCATGAGGAATCTGCCCTCATAACTCAAACACCTCCCACTAGGCCCCACCTCCAACACTAGGGATCAAATTGCAACATGAGATTTTGAGGGGTCAAACAGATAGAACTATAGCACCTCCAAAGGAAGTTATATGTCCCATCAGAGAGGTACATTCACCAGATCAAAGTAGGAAATGTTCACCAAAGTAACATTTGCATCCCATTACTGAACCACACCATTTGTAGTACCTTATAAATTAATATGCTTTTAAAATACATACTGGAATTATCTTGTGATTAGCAATATCTCATTGCCTTCTTTTTTTATATTGAAAGTGCTCATTTGATAAATGTAAAGATTTAAAATACAGGCATGCACCACATAACAACATTTGGTCAATGAAGGACTGCATGCTTGATGGTGGTCTCGCAAGATTATAATACTGTATTTTTACTGTACCTTTTCTATGTTTAGATATGCAAATACTTACCACTCTGTTACAGTTGCCTGCAGTGTTCAGTACAGTCACATGCTGTACAGGTTTGTAGCCTAGGCGCAATAGGCTATACCATATAGCCTAGGCACATAGTTCTGCCATCTATGTTTATGTAAGTACACTCTATGATGTTCACACAACAACAAAATCACCTAAGGATGAATTTCTCAGAACATATCCCACACCGTTAAGCGATGCATGACTGACTGTATATCACAATTTTGGTAATTGTTTCTTCATATCTTCATTTATCAGTATGTTAGGCACCTTAAAAATTGGAAGTGGCCCAGGCTTCTCTCAGCCTCTGAGAGGCCCCACTCGTCTAGGACTATGTTTGCAAACCTACACAGTAGCTGTGTGACCTTGGGCAAGTTACTTAAACTGTCTCCCTAGCTTCAGTTTCCTCATGTACTCATTTACAAAATGGTGAAAATAACTCTATTTTGCAGGGTTTCAAAGATGAGTTAATGTGATGTAAGTGAAGTACCTAACAGTTTTAGATACACAAGTTTCTCAGTATACAGTAAGTAGATGCCCAGTAATTGGTAGCAGTTGTCATAATTTTTTCTGGTGTATTTCTAGCTGTTTTGATCCAGAAAACTTTTTTTTTTTTTTTTTTTTTTTTTTTGAGATGGAGTTCCGCTCTTGTTGCCGAGGCTGGAGTGCAATGGCATGATCTTGGCTCACCGCAACCTCTGCCTCCCGGGTTCAAGCGATTCTCCTGCCTCAGCCTCCTGAGTAGCTGGGATTACAGGCATGCACCACCATGCCTGGCTAATTTTGTATTTTTAGTAGAGATGGGGTTTCTCCATGTTGGTCAGGCTGGTCTAGAACTCCCGACCTCAGGTGATCTGCCTGCTTTGGACTTCCAAAGTGCTGGGATTACAGGCATGAGCCACCATGCCTGGCTAATTTTGTATTTTTAGTAGAGATGGGGTTTCTCCATGTTGGTCAGGCTGGTCTAGAACTCCCGACCTCAGGTGATCTGCCTGCTTTGGACTTCCAAAGTGCTGGGATTACAGGCATGAGCCACTGCACCTGGCCTTTTTATTTTATTATTATTTTTTTGAGACAAGATCTGACTGTCACCTAGGCTGGAGTGCAGTGGTGCAATCTCTGCTTACTGCAACCTCTGCCTCCCGGGCACAACCCATCCTCCCACTTCAGCCTCCCAAGTAGCTGGGACCACAGGTATGCATCACCAAGCCTGGCTAATTTTTGTATTTGTGTGTATGTGTGTAGGGATGAGGTTTGGCCATGTTGCCCAGGCCAGTCTTGAACTCCTGAGTTCAAGTGATCTGCCTGCCTCAGCCTCCCAAAGTGCTGGAATTATAGGTGTGAGCCAATGCACCTGGCCTGATCCAGAATACTCCGATATCAGTTACCTTTTGCTGTGTAACAAATCACTCTAAAACTTAGTAGCTTAAAATAACAACCATGTATTTACTTCAAGATTCTGTAGGTTGGCTGTTTAGGCTGGGCTCAGCTGGCAGGTTTTCTGAACTCAGCTAGAATTCCTCTTGCTTTTGTAGCTAGATGTGGGGCAGCTGCAGTTTGGTTTTGCTAGTTTGGGCTGAGCTCTTGTGTATGTTTAAGGTCTTGGCTGGGACAACTGGCCTGACTCATGAACTCTCATCCGCTGGCAGCTTAGCCTGGGTTTGTTCACATCATGAAGACAAGGGTCCCAAGAAAGCAGGTGGCGGTGTGCAAGGCCTCTTGAGGCTTGGGCTTGGAACTAGTACAGTGTCACCTCTGCCACATTCTATTGGCCAAAACTAGTCACAGACTCAAGACTTGAGGACACCACTTTTGATAGGAAGAGTTACAAAGTCACATCTGCAAAGTAGCAGAGACACAGAAAGGGAAGTAACTGTGGTCATTTCTGCAAACAATCTACCACAATTCCCCCTTTGTAAACAAAAAACAGCGCCTTTAATTTATTCCCTGGGTGCCCCAGTGAGCAAGTGGGGATAAATTGTGTTCTTTTCCACTCTCTGGTTCAAGCCTATTTTTAGATCTGGTCTAATAAAATGAATTTCACACCTGGGTTACTCACCCACTAACAAACACTTTGTTCTTATTGATGCCTAGGACAAATGCCGAGGCAGCCTAGATTTGTAGTTCCTTTACCTCTGAGTACAATAATTGTTAATTATTTGCTTTATTTGGTTCTGTTGCATTTGCCAATAGTCAATTACCTATGTTAGGTTTTCTTGTGATCAGTGGGGCTTATCCAATATTGCAGCTCAGGTCCGTTTTTGTCTCAGAGATGTCTATTCCAAGATAAAGAAAACTCTTGTTCACTAGTTTATTGAATATCTGTTTATTTCAAAGCCTTCTTATGCACTGGTGCAAGCACCAAAGTGCTCAGGCTGAGTTCTTAGAATTGAACAAAAGGCCAAAGATAAGCTTTCCTTTTGTGTAATCTGGCTAAATCCCAGTACATAGAATAGATAGAAAGAGCAGGTTGTGAGATCCTAGGGCATTTGTTCAGTTCCTGCCTGAATCTCTGAAACTGCCTTATCCCCTGTAATCCACCCTCCACATAGCTACCTAGTGACCTAATGCAGAGACCTGATCACATGGCTTGTGGTAGAGTGCATGGATGGACCTGACTCTCCAGTCCTCCGTATAGCCATGAACTTTGTCATATGACTTGGCAGGAGCTCTCACTGGTTCCCCTCCTCTTGAATCTAGACTGGGTCATGTGACTTTGTTTGGTGGACAGAATGAGGTGGAAGTGACAACGTGCCAGTTCTGAGCCCAGGCCTCAAGACACCTTGCATGTTTCTTTCCGTGCTCTTGTGCCTCTGTCATTGCCATGAGCAAGACATGCCCAGGCTGGCCCAGCAGTTCCAGGAGGAAGACAAGACATATATGGAGAAGAGCCAAGTCACTTCAGCAAGGCCCAGCCCAAATCAGCTAAGCCCCAGCCAACCCCAGATGCATAAGCCATAAATGCTGATTGTTGCTTTAAGCCACTGACATTGAGGTTGCTTATTACATGGCGGAAGTTGATGCCTCATTCTTCTATTTAAACTCCAGCACTGGTCCACTGATCCCCTGTGGCTTGAGGCATAAAATCCAGGTGAAATCTTCCACCATCTTGGCCCTGCTACTTTTCTCTTGGTGCCTCCATATCTCCCTTTTTACTTTATACCTTAGCAATGACCCCAAATGACTTGTAGCTCTTCAAATGCATCATGCTGGTTCACCTTTCTATGCCTTTGCACCTGGTATGCCCTCTGCCTGGAATGCCATTCTCCTCTCCTTTGTCTGCCTAGGAAATTCCTACTCATCTGTCAAAACCCAGCTCAGGCATTGTATCAATGTACTCTCCTCTCCCCTGAAGTAACTCATACCCACTTTTCTGAGATGTTTGGATGCCATATATCTATATCTATATATCTATCTGTATGTATATCTATAAATCTATTGTTACCATATATGACATGGTATTATGAAGTATGTTCATTTCCTTTTAGTTTTGCCCATTGTATTAGTCCATTCTCACATGGTTATAAAGAAACACCTGAGACTGAGTCATTTATAAAGAAAAGAAGTTTAGGCTGGGCATGGTGGCTCACACCTGTAATCCTAGCACTTTGGGAAGCTGAGGCAGGTGAATCACTTGAGGTCAGGAGATCGAAACCAGCCTGGCCAACATGGTGAAACCCCATCTCTACTAAACATACAAAACATTAGCCAGGCATGGTAGTGGGGCCTGTAGTCCCAGCTACTTGGGAGGCTGAGGGAAGAGAATCACTTGAACCCAGGAGGTGGAGGTTGCAGTGAGCCAAGATCGCACCCTGCACTCCAGCCACAAAAACAAATGAACAAACAAACAAAAAAGACGTTTAATTAGCTCACGGTTCTTCAGGCTGTACAGGAAGCATGATGCTGGCATCTGCTTGGCTCCTGGAAAGGCCTCAGGAAACTTACAAACATGTCAGAAGGCAAAGGGGGAGCAGGCACTTCACATGATGAAAGCAGAAGCAGCAGAGTTGAGGGGGTGCCACACACTTTTAAGCAACCAGATCTCACAAGAACTCACTCACTGCAAGGAGAGCACATAGGAGTTGTTGCTAAACAATTCATAAGAAATCCATTTCCGTGATCCAGTCGCCTCCCACCAGGCCCCATCTCCAACACAGGGACTGTAAGTTAACATGACATTTGGGTAAGGAGACACAACCAGACTATATCACCCATATTTCCCACCTATAGACTGATTTACTTTAGGACAAGGGCAGCTTTAATGTAAATGTACTCTTAGTGCCTAACCCAGTGCCTGACACCAATAATGCTTGATGATTAAATGAAGGAGGACCTGAAAAGAGGGAGCATCTGAATTGGGCCTTGACCAAGTGGTAGGATTTGGACACAAAGAGATGGGCAAAGGAACTCCAGAGAGAAGGTACAGTGTGAGTAAATTTCCAGTACAGGGGCTGGAAAACAGGAATGACATGATTTCATTTTGGCCCAAGCTTTTGATAGAGAGTAGCAAGAGCTATAGTGATATGTGATTAAAAAAAAAAAAAAAAAAAGAACTCCAAAAACATATGTAAAATGAATATTATCTTTCCAGAAGACTCATCCACTAGGAAGAGATGCAAGGCAATGTCTTACCCCAAAGCAAGATAATCTATGAATGGGTAGCTGATGAGATGATGGGGCAGAGCGAATACCTCCAGGACCCTCAGGGCCCTGCTGCTGTGTGCATCTGCCTCCTGTGAGGAACTTCTTCACTTGTAAACTCTTTCCAGAGTGTTACAGGCATTGAGAAGTCCAGCATCTCAGGGGTTAACTAGAGGCCTGTCTCTGTACCCTTGGGTGGTAGAAAATGACCCTGGATACTGTCAGGTGTAGCTTGGCCCCTGCTAGGAGGCAAATCCCACTGCTTTCTGGCTGGATGAATCTTGTCCCTTGAGGAATACTTGCAAAAATGGTGTTGCAATATAAAGCAGGGATGCTTAGTCCTCCATCCTTGGTCCCCACCACACAGAGAAAGGAAGGGGCTGGCCAGGGGTTTCTCCCCGCACAGGCCTTTCCCCTACCAGCTGCCTCTGCTGTTGCAGAGCTCTTTAAAATATTTAAACATCTTCATTATGGCGGGTTAGCCTTTTAAAGATTAACACTCCTCAATTATAAAAGCAGAGATATGTATCTTTGCTATGTCACCCCATGCCACCTTGTACTGGCCACTTCATGGCTTTTATCCCTTGGATCTATGATTGCCTAGTTACTTTCTGTCACCCCTACTGGGCCACAGGCTCCAGATGGCAGATAATTGGCCTCCACAGTTCACCATAAGATCCCCAAGGCCAGGCACTGGGCCTGGCCTTGGAAAATGCTTAATAGACATAATAGACAGTTGTTGAATAAATAAACTTGTAAAGAGTTCAGAAAAGAGAAGCTATGCTTGCCTACTACCCCAACAACCAGAGGGACCACTGCTAACATTGTCATAATTTTCCTTCCATGTCTTCTTTTATGCATGCATATATTCTATACTTTTGAATGAAGCTGTACTTTTTTTTTTTTTTTTTTTTTAGACGGATTCTCACTCTGTCGCCCAGGCTGGAGCGCAGTGGCGCAATCTTGGCTCACTGCAAGCTCCACCTCCCAGGTTCACACTGTTCTCCGTCCTCAGCCTCCCGAGTAGCTGGGACTACAGGTGCCCATCACCACACCCAGCTAATTTTGTTTTTGTATTTTTAGTAGAGATGGGGTTTCACTGTGTTAGCCAGGATGGCCTCCATCTCCTGACCTCGTGATCCGCCTGCCTCGGCCTCCCAAAGTGCTGGGATTACAGGCATGAGCCACACGCCCGGCCTGAAGCTATACTTCTTAATGGCATTTCTGCCATGTCATGAAAATTATTCACAAATACCATTTTTAATGGCTGCTCGATTTCCCATCATATGGAGACACCCTATTGTTGACTATTTATGTTGCATCCAATTTTTCACAGTTCTCCCAGAATAAGTATCTGGGTTGGGAAGGCATCCTTTTGCATTGGTTTTTGCTTATTTTCAAATGATTTTATTAAGCTAGACTTCCAGGAGAGGATTAAAATATATGAGCACTGTAAAAACTCCTGGAACATCTTGTTAGCACTGCTGCCCAGAAAGACTGGACCCGTGTCCCTGCTAGGTTTTATGTCAGAGTGAGCTGAGAAACTCAATGAGGCAGTCTGGGATAATGGCAAGTCACCGTCCTGGGCATATGAAAACCTGGGATGAGGGAGGACTTTGAACAGCCCCTCCCTTCTCTATGCTTCAGTTTCCTTTTCGTGCACTGGAAGGACAAGTATTGTGCTGCCTCATTCTCAGTGCTACTGTGTGAGTCCAATGAGGGGATACTTGGGACAAGGCTTTGACAGCTGAGAAACTTGGTTCTTGTTCTTTTTATTTTATGTTAAAAGGGACTAGCGTAACCAAGGGACTAACATTATTGAGGCAAACAGCATCTTCCCGAGAAATGGTGACTGCTTTTCTGTCTGCAGAACTGTGACCTTTTGGGAGACAAAAGATTTCAGTATTCATTGTCTTCTCACCCTTGATTGTCCTGCTGGGGTAGGTGGGGAGAAGAAGGAGGAGTAGGGGAAGACGACATTGACATCGGATCTGCAATTCCTGAGTCACTGGAGAAAAATGAACTAGGAGAAAAAGAGAAAGTTGCTACCAGAACTTTGGAAGAATTATTCCATGTGCTGCTCCCTCATGCATCCACTGACCCTAGGTGGGTCCCTTCTCATTCCCAAGCCTCAGTCTTCCCTCTGCATATTAAGGGCTCAGACCAGGATCCCTAACCAGCTTCCTCTGAGAGCCTGAGTGCGTGAGGCTGGGACAAGAGAGAGGGCTGTGAATTGATCTCCTCTGCACCATCTGCTGGCCTAGTCAACCTCTCAAGCCATCCCTGGTCTCTGGGCCTTCCTGGACACTAGAATCTCCCATGAGGATGTCAGTTTAGACTGACTTGAGGGTGAATTCACCTGGTGCAGAAGGTTGGGCTTTTAGATCCCTTTGTTGCAGCCTAAATCTAAGAACCAAATCTGAAACACTT
Organism: Homo sapiens; assembly: GCF_000001405.40. Classification (NCBI taxonomy): domain Eukaryota; kingdom Metazoa; phylum Chordata; class Mammalia; order Primates; family Hominidae; genus Homo; species Homo sapiens. Next base: position 38,213,024 of record NC_000009.12, read on the forward strand.
CCTGTTCCTCCCCGACCCCATCAGTACACTCGAGTCTCTCTGACATGATGCCGCAGGCCCTCCATAATGTGGCTACAATCAACTTCTTGATAATAAGAGTATTTCTACTCCAGGTAGTTGTGAGGACCACACAGTACATGTGCATAAAGCATTTAGCATGATACTCAGCCAGCACATAGTAACCACTCAATAAATGGCAGCTGCTATTAGTTATCACTACCACTGTGACTTACTCTCTTCTCCCTTTCCTTTTCTCCAATGCCTATCCTGGCATGTGGCCTCATGCCCTTGTGTCTGCACAGCCTTTCCCCTCTGTATGGAGAGACCTCAATTCATGTCTCCCACTTTGTGCCCATTTTGGGGTGTAATTGCTGAGTGGAATTGCCCACCTTGGGAAGATGGTCATTTCTTGCTGCTTTTCTTTCCCCCAAACTCATATGGTGGAATTTGCTTATGTCTTGAACTTATGGTGTGACTCCACTGTAGGGGGGACACAAGTGCTCAGTCAACAAAGGAGTCATTGGCTCTAGGGGGTCTCCCCACTAGGTTATGAGCTATTGACGGCTGAATCTGGGTTTGTCCTCCTCTGCACCCATAGTGCTGACACCATGCTTATACATAGGCAGTTTCAGAAAAATCCATGTATTTAAAACAGATTTCTAGAACATCCATCAAGTGTCAGGCACTGCTCTGGGCATTGTGGATAGGATGGTAACCAAGATAGACACACGTCCCTGCCTTCCTGAAGCATGTATTCCAACTGGGGAGACAGGAAAAAGAACAATAAATGACTTAGTTAAACACTATTTCTCTTTGTCTGTTTCTATGTCTGGAGGAATTTCCTTTGCATTGGGAGGGTGTGTTTGTGAGAATATGTTTGGCTAGTTTTTAGTAGCCATATAGGAAGAGTACTCAGGAAGCTGAGGTGGATCTCAAAGAGATGAGCAGTTATCCTCCAGAAAAGGGAACCCAGGATAGAACTAGAGGTCAGTGACAGCTAGTGCCACAGGGCAGAGAAGGGAAAGACGGTGTTGAGGTGGTTTTGAATACAAGTCCTCCTCTGAATGGCTCTAGGGCACATTCCAAATTGCAAGTGCTGATTTGCAATGGAGCTGTTTTTCACTTGGACAACTTTATATATTGTGCTCCAGGGTGAACAACAACAGGGATGTATTTACTTAATGATGTGGGGAAGGGCAGCCAGTAAATAAAATAATCACAAAGTGTGACAAGCACTTAATAAAGGGGCCTGAGATGAGGCTGGAGGAAAGGCAGGGGCCGATTAGGCTGGGTCTCAAGACTGTGGTGAGGGGCTTGGACTTTATTTAGAGTGAATCAAAGACCAGGGGAGAGTTGGGATCTGATTTTGCTTTAAAGATCACTCTCACTGCCATGTGGAGTCAGTTTGATTTAATTGAATCAAATATTTCTGGAGAGCATCCAAATAAATTGGCTTCTTGAAGCCATCACCTCCCCCTGCTGAGTTTGACTAGCTCCTGGTAGAACTGGGGACCCTAATTTCCCAAGGAGACAAACATCCAATTTCTGGTTTAGATTTGCATTAGAAAGAGACCTTAATTACTCTGATCTCTAACACCTCTGAGGAGCCGATTTGAGCTTTTCAGATGCAAAGAGTGTTAATTGGCTAAGGGGCCCAGCTGAGCTGAACCCTCACCAAGTGGGAAGGGGTAGAGGAAGGAGAAGGGGAAAGGGGTTGGAGAGAGGAGGGGACACCTCGCATTTGTCAGGTTTCCTGGAGATCTGAAGGGGAGTGTGAGGGGAATTGATACCAACAGTTTGCCCACTTTCGATCCTTCAAGTCTCCTCCCACTCTTCCTTCAAGATCCAACTCACTCCCACTGTCCCAGGAAGCACCCCCGCCCCCCGTCCCCACTCCCACCCCCGGATTTCCTTTACCGCTTCCTAGGCGGACAGTGCCTCCAGGGACTCCTGGTTTCTAATCATGGCCCTTGGATGGCCCTTCCACTTGGAGGGCAAGGCTTCTATCCCTTGCAGCTTCATCTCCTTGCACAGCCCAAGGTGAGTGCTCGGAAAATGTGAAATGAATGAATAATAAAACAAATGATAATGTTAATGATAATATAATAATAAAAGCCACCACTTATGTAGTGCTTCCCGTGATTCTACACTGCTGAGTCTCAGAGTCAGAAAGCATTTACTCCTGCTCTCCAATTCCTGCCATAGCCAATCTCCAGCATAAATCACCATTGATGGTTATGTATTTATCTGTGGGATTGTTTAATACTAACCTCCTCCATGAAGACAAAGAACCCCTGCCTGTTTTGTTCACCACTCTATCTGCAGTGCCTAGCCCAATGTCTGAACCTAAAAGGCTCAATAAACATCTGTTGAATGAGAGAATGCTTGCATACATCCAGTGATGGGAAGTTTACTCTCTCCTAAGGAAGTCTTGCTCATGTATGGTTCCTTTTCCTGTTAGTTCTTCCTTTTACTGAAGAACTAACATTCGTTTCCCTGGAGCATCCATTTAACACTGATGCCTGGATTCTCTCACAAACAGCTTGCCACCTGCCCCTACCCCACCACCACGGGGCTGCAAGGCTATGATTTATAAATGTTTCTTTCTGTATGTCCTGTTCGCTTGCTATATGTGCCTGGTCACTCCCTCTGGACACAGTCCAGATGGTCCTGTTTCCTCTCACAGTAAGGCCTGATAAATATGTAAAGATGAGACTCTCACTTCCCATGTTCTAGGAATTACATTTCTATAATGCAACTCTTCAAATGTAGTTGCCTCTACTCTGTTTAAATAAAGATATAAGGCACCAATAAGGAAGATGAGTTGACCAATTGAGGTCTTTTCTACAGGTGTAGAAAATGTTAATGGTGGGTATATGGGGAATACAACTTTTTTTTTTTAAGTGAAAGCAGGTTTACAAAGAAAGTACGGGGTATACAAATTTTAAAAGTTGTAAAACTTTTCAACTTTTTAGTACGTTTGAAATTTTTCAAAATAAAATGTTGGAAATAGGAAAAATCCAATAAAGTAATTAAAATGGAATACTAAAAAAAATTAACCACAAAAAAGACAAGAAAAACAGAAAAAAAGAACAGGACAAATAGACAGCACATAGCAAAATGGCCATTAAAGTCATGTTAAATGTATTAAAGTAATGTTAAATGTAAATGAACTAACCATTTCAATTAAATGGCAGGAATTATCAGACTGGTTAAAGGAATAAGAGCTAATTTTCTGCTGTCTACAAGCAATACTTAAAAACACAAAGACATAGGTTAAAAGTAAAAGGATAGAGATTAGGCAAAAGCACTAATTATGAGAAAGCTGGAATGGCCATATTATCTGATGATAACATAGACTTTGAGACAAGAAGTATTATCAGAGATAAACACACTTCATTACAAAAAGTGGGTCCAGTTCATGAGGACAATAAAAGAATGATAAAATTTTTAACACATATAATAATAAATGTGAATGTGGGTAATAACAGAGCTTCAAAATACATGAAGCAAAAACTGACAGAAATAAATGGAGGAATAGATAAATCCACAACCATAGTTTCTATTTTTGTTTTTGTTTTTTGAGACGGGGTCTTAATCTGTTGCCCAGGCTGGAGTGCAGAGGCACAATCACAATTCACTGTAGCCTGGTAACTCCTGGGCTCAAGCAATCCTCTTGCATCAGCTTTCTGAGTAGCTGGGACTACAGGCACATGCCACCATGCCCAGCTAATTTTGCCATTTTTTGTAGAGATGGGGTCTCACTATATTGCCCAGGCTGGTCTCAAACTCCTGGGCTCAAGTGATCCTCCTACCTTGGCCTCTCAAGTGCTGGGATTACAGGTGTGAGCTACCACCTAGCCCTACAACTATGGTTTTTATGCTCTCAGTAATTGATAAAACTGTTAGAACAAAAGTAGTAAGGATAAAGATCTGAACAACATTATAAGGCACTTTGACACCAAGAACTGTATGTAGAATACTGATTTTTTTTTTTCAAGAACCCATGGAACGTTCATTAGGATAGACCATATGCTGGTTTTCAAGTGTAATACATTTTAAAAGATTGAACATTTATACAATGTGTTTTACAAATAATGATGAATATGAAGCTACAGATTGAAGAAGCCCAATGGGCCCCAAATACAAGAAACATGAAGAAAATGATATCAAGGCATGTTATAATCTAAGAGCTCAAACCTTTTGATAAAGAAAAACTTAAGCCAGGTGCGGTGGCTCACACCTGTAATCCCAGCACTTTGGGAGGCCAAGGCAGGTGGATCACCTGACGTCAGGAGTTTCAGACCAGCCTGGCCAACATGGTGAAACCCCGTCTTTACTAAACACAAAAATTAGCTGGGCATGGTGGCAGGCACCTGTAATCTCAGCTACTTGGGAGGCTGAGGCAGGAGCATCACTTGAACCTGGGAGATAGAGGTTGCAGTGAGCCAAGATGGAGCCACTGCACTTGAGTATGGGCAACAGAGTGAGACTCAGTCTCAAAAAAAAAAAAAAAAAAAAAAAAAAGATAAACGAAAACTTTAAAAAGCAGCAGGAGCTGGAGCCACAAGAAGAAACAAAAAGGAAAAAGAAAAGAAACAAGAATGACACCTCTGAAGGACTGAAAGAGAGAAAAGTCTGTCAACCTAGAGTTTATATCTCAGCAAAAAGATCATTCAAAAGCAAGAGCAAAATAAGAACTTTAAAAAATACATAAAAACTGAGGGAATTCTTAGTTGGCACACCACACTATAAGAAACACTAAAGGAACTTGGTCAGACAGAAGGAAAATGACACCAGATGGAATCATGAATTAATGGAAAGTAATTAAAAACATTAGAAATGGTAACTGCATGGTAAACAAGATTTTTAAATATTATTTGAAATTCTGTTAAAGATAATTTACCGTTAACATGAAAATAATTGCAATGCAACATGGCATTTATAACATGTAAAAGTAAATGCATAACGAGACAAATGTTGAGAGTGGGGAAATGGAAATATTTACTATTGTAAGGTTCTTTTTAAAATGTTTTCGTTTTTAATTTTTGTGAGTACATAATAGGTCTATATATTTATGGGTTACATGAAATATTTTGCTATAGGCCTGCAATGCGTAACAATTACATCAGGGAAAGTGGGGTATCCGTCTCCTCAAGCATTTATCCTTTGTGTTACAAAACAATAGTTTTTTAGTTATTTTAAAATGTACAAGTAAGTTATTTTTGACTATAGTCACCCTGTTGTGCTAGCAACTACAAGGTTTTATTCATTCTTTCCATCTTTTTGTACACATTATCTATCCCCACTACCTCCCTGCCTCTGCTACCCTTTCTAACCTCCAATAATCATTCTTCTACTCTCTCTCTCCATGAGTTCAGTTATTTTAGTTTTTAGCTCCCAAAAATAAGTGAGAACATGAGAAGTTTGTCTTTCTGTGTCTGACTTATTTCACTGAACATAATGACTTCCAGTTCCATTCATGCCATTGCAAACGAGAGGATCTCTTTCTTACGGCTGAATAGTACTTCATTGTGTATATGTATCACATTTTCTTTATCCAATCATCTGTTGACGGACAGTTAGGTTGCTTCCAAATCTTGGCTATTGTGAATAGTGCTGTAACAAATATGGGAGTGCAGCTATCTCGGATATACTGATTTCCTTTCTTTTGGGTATATACCCAGCAGTGGAATTGCGAGATCATACGGTAGCTCTACTTTTGTTTTTTTTGAGAAACTGCCAAACTGTTCTCTATGGTGGTTGTACTAATTTGCATTCCCACCAGCAGTGTATGAGGGTCCTTTTTTCTCCACATCCTCACCAGCATTTGTTACTGCCTAACTTTTGAATAAAAACTATTTTAACTTCTCATTGTAGTTTTGATTTGCATTTCTCTGATGATCAATGATGCTGAGCACCTTTGCATATGCCTGTTTGCCATTTGTATATTTTCTTTTGAGAAATGTCTATTCAGGTTTTTTGCCCATTTTTAATCAGATTAGTAGATTTTTTTCCTATAGAGTTGTTTGAGCTCCTTATATATATTCTGGTTTTGTTTTGTTTTGTGTTTTGTTTTATTTTGTTTTGTTTTGAGATGGAGTTTCACTTTTGTCGCCCAGGCTGGAGTGCAATGGCATGATCTCAGCTCACTGCAACCTCTGCCTCCCAGGTTCAAGCGATTCTCCTGCCTCAGCCTCCCAAGTAGCTGGAATTACAGGTACCCGCCACCATGCCCAGCTAATTGTTTGTATTTTTAGTAGAGATGAGTTTTCACTATGTTGGCCAGGCTGGTCTCAAACCCCGGACCTCAGGTGATCTACCCACCTCAGCCTCCCAAAGTGCTGGGATTATAGGCGTGAGGCACCGCGCCTGGCCTATATTCTGGTTATTAATCATTTGTCAGATGGGTAGCTTGCAAATATTTTCTCCAATTCTATGGGTTGTCTATTTACTTTGTTGATTGTTTCTTTTGCTGTGTAGAAGATATTTAACTTAATGTGATCCCATTTGTCCATTTTGCATTGGTTGCCTGTGCTTATGGGTTCTTACTCAAGAAATGTTTGCCCAGCCCAATGTCCTGGAGAGTTTCCCCAATGTTTTCTTGTAGTAATTTCATAGTTTGAGGTCTTAGATTTAAGTCTTTAATCCACTTTGACTTGATTTTTGTATATGGTGTGTGACAGGGGTCTAGTTTTATTCTTTTGCATATGGATATCCAATTTTCCCAGCACCATTTACTGAAGAGACTATCCTTTTTCCAAGGTATGCTCTTAGCACCTTGTCAAAAATGAGTTCACTGTAGATGTATGGATTTATCTCTGGGTTTTCTATTCTGTCGCACTGATCTATGTGTCTGTTTTATGCCAGTACCATGACATTTTGGTTACTATAGCTCTATAGTATAATTTAAAATCAGATAACGTGATTCCTCCAGTTTTGTTCTTTTCGATTAGGATAGCTTTGGCTATTCTGGGTCTTTTGTGGTTCTATATAAATTTTCAGAGTGTTTTTTCTATTTCTGTGAAGAATGTCATTGGTATTTTGATAGGGATTGCATTAAATCTATAGATTGCTTTGAGTATTATGAACATTTTAGCAATATTCTTCCAATCCATGAACACGGAATATCTTTACCTTTTTTTTTTGTCTTCTTCAATTTCTTGCATCAATGTTTTATAATTTTCATTGTAGAGTTCTTTCACTTCTTTGGTTAAGTTAATTCCTAGGTATTTAATTTTATTTGTAGCTGTTGTAAATAAAATTACTTTCTTGATTTCTTTTTCTGATTTTTTGCCATTGGTATATAGAAACACTACTGATTTTTTGTATGTTGATTTTGTATCCTGCAACTTTACTTCCAAGAGTTTGTTTATCAGTTCTAATAGTTTTTGGTAGAATCTTTAGGTTTTTCCAAATATAAGATTATAACATCTGCAAATAAGAATAATTTGACTTCTTCCTTTCCAATTTGTATGTCCTCTATTTCTTTCTCTTGACTGCTCTAGCTAGGACTTCTAGTACTATGTTGAATGAAAGTGGTGAAAGTGGTCATCCTTGTGTTCCTGATCTTAGAGGAAAGACTTTCAGTTTTCCCCATTCAGTATGATACTAGCTGTGGGTCTGTCATATAGGTTTTTGTTTTTTGAGATGCAGTCTCGCTCTTTCACCCAGGCTGGAGTACAGTGGCACAATCTTAGCTTACTGCAACCTCCGCCTCCCAGGTTCAAGCAATTCTCCTGCCTCAGCCTCCTGAGTAGCTGGGATTACAGGTATGTGCCACCATGCACAGCTAATTTTTGTACTTTTAGTAGAGATAGGGTTTCATCATATTGGCCAGGCTGGTCTCAAACTCCTAACCTCAGGTGTTCCACCCACCTCAGCCTCCCAAAGTGCTGGGATTACAGGCGTGAGCCACCATGCCAGGCCCATATACGGTTTTTATTATGTTGAGGTATGTTCCTTCTATCCTCAGTTTTGTTTTAGGGTTTTTATCATGAAGGGATGCTGAATTTTATCACATGCTTTTCCAGCATCAATTGAAATGACTATATGTTTTTGTCCTTCATTCTTTTGATATGATGTATCACATTAATTGATTTGTGTATGTTGAGCCATTCTTGCATCCCTGGGACAAATCACACTTGGTCTTGATGAAAAATCTTTTTTTTTTTTTTTTGAGACAGAGTCTTGCTCTGATGCCCAGGCTGGAGTGCAGTGGCACTATCTTGGCTCACTGCAACCTCTGCCTCCTGAGTTTAAGCGATTCTCCTGCCTCAGCCTCCCGAGTAGCTGGGACTACAGGCGCATGCCACCACGCCTGACTAATTTTTGTATTTTTAGTAGAGATGGGGTTTCACCATGTTGGCAGGCTGGTCTCAAACTCCTGACCTCAGGTGATCCACCCGCCTTGGCCTCCCAAAGTGCTAGATTACAGATGTGAGCCACCGTGCCTGGCCGATGAGCAATCTTTTTAAGTGTTGTTGAATTTGGTTTGCTGGTATTTTGGTGAGGGTTTTTGAGGCAATATTCACCAGTGATACTGGCCTATCATTTTCTTATTTTGATGTATCTTTTTCTGGTTTTGGTATCAGGGTAATACTGGCCTCATAGAATGAGTTTGGAAGTATTCCCTCCTCTATTTTTAGGAATAGTTTTAGTGGGATTGGGATTAGTTCTTTTTTTTTTTTTTTTTTTTTTTTTGAGACGGAGTCTCGCTCTGTCACCCAGGCTGGAGTGCAGTGGTACAATCTCGGCTCACTGCAAACTCTGCCTCCTGGGTTCATGCCATTCTCCTGCCTCAGCCTCCCGAGTAACTGGGACTACAGGCGCCCGCCACCGCACCCAGCTAATTTTTTGTATTTTTAGTAGAGACGAGGTTTCACCGTGTTAGCCAGGGTGGTCTTGATCTCCTGACCTCATGATCCGCCCACCTCGGTCTCCCAAAGTGCTGGGATTACAGGTGTGAGCCACCGCGCCTGGCTGGGATTAGTTCTTCTTTGAATGTTTGGTAGAATTCAGTAGTGAAGCCATTGGGTACTGGGCTTTTCTTTGCTGGGACTTTTTATTACAGCTTCAATCTCATTACTTGTTGTTGGGCTGTTCAGGCTTTGGGTTTCTTCATGTTTCAATCTTGATAGATTTCACGTGTCTAGGAATTTATCTGTTTCTTCTAGATCTTCTGATTTATTGGTGCATAGTTGTTCATAGTAGCCACTAATGATCCTTTGAATTTCTGTGGTATCAGTTGTAATGTCTCCTTTTTAATCTCTGATCTTATTTATTTAGGTCTTCTCTCCCTTTTTCTTTGGCTAAAGGTTTGTTCATTTATTTTTTCAAAAAAACAGCTTTTTGTTAAATTGATCTTTTGTATTGTTTTCTTCATTTCAATTTCATTTATTTCTGCTCTGATCTTTATTATTATTTTTCTTCTACTAATTTTGGGTTTGATTTGTTCTTGGTTTTATAGTTCTTTAAGATGCATCATTATTTATTTGAAGTTTTTCTTATTTTTTTGAGGCACTTATAACTATAAAATTCCATCTTTGTACTGCTTTTGCTGTATCCCATAGGTTTCGGTATGTTGTGTTTCTGTTATAATTTGTTTCCAAAAAATTTTTGATTTTATTCTTAATTCATTCACTGACCCACTGGTCATTCAGGAGTATATTGTTTAATTTCCATATATTTGTGCAGTTTCCAAAAATCCTCTTGTTATTGATTTCCAGTTTTATTCCATTGTGGTCAGAGAAAATGCTTGATATTATTTTAATTTTTGGGAATGTTTTAAGACTTGTTTTGTGACCTAATATATGATCTATCCTTGAGAATGATCCATGTGCTAAGGAAAAGAATCTGTATTCCGTAGCCCCTGGATGAAATGTTCTGTAAATATCTATTAGGTCCATTTGGTCTATGGTGCAAATTAAATCTAATGTTTCTTTGTTGATTTTCTGTCTGGAAGATTGGTCCAATGCTAATAGTGGGGTTTTGAAGTCTCAAGATATTTTTGTATTGGGCTCTATCTTTAGCTCTAATAATGTTTGCTTTATGTATCTGAGTGCTCCCATGTTGGGTGCTACATATTTAAAATTGTTATATTCTCCTGCTGAATTGATCCCTTTATCATTATATAGTGACCACCTTTGTCTCCTCTTACAGTTTTTGTCTTGAAATCTATTTTGTCTGACATAAATATAGCTAACAATAAAAGAAAATAAACAGCCTGAATAAACAGTCCAGAAATAAACTCACACATATATGGACAACTGATTTTTTTTACAAAGGTGCTAAGAAAAGACAACTTTTTAACAAAAGCTAGAACAACTAGATATTCACATGCAAAAAAACCCCACAAAACCAATAACTTACATCTGTACTTTGTACTATATACAAAAATTAACTCAAATGGATCAAAGACCTAATTGTAATCCTAAAACTATATTTTTAGAAAGAAGCATGAGAGGAAATCTTTGTAAACTCATATTAGGCAAAGATTTCTTAGCTATGTCACCAGAAGCACAGTCTATAAAAACAAATTTGAGGCTGGCACGGTGGGCTCATGCCTGTAATCCCAGCACTGTGGGAGGCCGAGGCCGGTGGATCACCTAAGGTCAGGAGTTTGAGACCAGCCTGGCCAACACGGCAAAACCCCGTCTCTACTAAAAATACAAAAATTAGCTGGGCGTGGTGGCATGCACCTGTAATCCCAGCTACTCAGGAGGCTGAGGAAGGAGAATCACTTGAACCCAGAAGGCAGAGGTTGCAGTCAGCTGAGATCGTGCCACTGCACTCCAGCCTGGGTGACAGAGCAAGATGTCATCTCATAAATAAATAAATAAATAAATAAATAACAAAAATTTGATAAATTGGATTTAATCAAGTTAAAAACTTCTCTTCAAAAGACATTGTTATGAGAGCAAAAAGATAAGCAACAGTCTGGAAATGATATTTGGGATTCATATATCCGATAAAGGATATGTATCGAGAATATGGAAATCTCAAAATCTAATAATAAGAAAACAAAAAATCCCACTTAAAAGTGGACAAAAGAGTGGTACAGATGCTTCAAAGAAGGCAAATTAGAACATAAGATGCTCATTATCATTAGTTATCAGGGAAATCAAATTTAAAACCACAGTAAGATACCACTGTGTACTTATCAGAAAGGCTAAATGTCAAAAGACTGTCCATACCAAGTGTTGTTGAGAATGTGGAGAAATTGGAGCTCTCATCCACTGCTGATGTTGATGTAAAATTGTACTACTATATTGGAAAATAACTTGGCATTTCTCAAAAAGTTATACTTTATGATCCAGCCATCCTACTCTGAGGTGTTTACCCAAGACAAATGAAAGTATATGTGCATTAAAATATTTGCACACAAATATTCATAGCAGCATTATTTGTCACTCAACAGGTAAATGGATAAATTATAGCACATCCATACAATGGAATGCTATTCTGCAATAGAAAGGAACAGACTATTGATAGAAATGTGGTGCCTACCTCAGAATGAATCTTAAAATAATCATGCTGCAGAAACAAGACAGACAAAAAAAGAATACATGCTGTATGATTTCACTTGTATAAAATTCTAGGAAATGCAAACTAATCTGTAGTGACAGAAAGCCAACCAGTGAGGATGAGGTGGGGAGGGATTATGAAGAACAAGAGGAAAGCTCTGGGGATGAAGGAGAAGCTCACGGTCTTGGTGATGGTTTCGTGGGTGTAAACATATGTCAAATCTTATCAAGTTGTATACTTTAAATATGTACAGTGTATTCATGTGAATTATATTTCATAAAGCTGTTAAGTATAGTTGAGTCTTAATGAGGCATATACCAAAAACAACAAAAATTCTTGAACCTTGTCCTTGATCTACTGATACACATTACCTGGGAGGGAGGCTCAAGGCTGCAGTTTTGCAGTTCTGACACACACACCACCACTTGAAAGCCTCTGGTCCATGGAGCTGAAATTCCTCCCAGTGGCCTTGCCAGGCTCCCTTTTTCTCTACCTGCTTCCCATGAAAGCCTCAGGTTTCCCAGTCCCCATTTCATTCTCTGAGCTCCGGCCCACCCAGCTGTCTGAGGTTCCCTGACGGGCCCAGGCTCTTGGCCTCTGGGCCTTTGTAGCTGCTGTGTCCTCCCCCTGGAGCACCCCTGTGCTCTTCTTCAGTTGACTGGTTCCCAATGGTGCTTCAAAACCCTGCTCAGGAGGCACCACCTCTGGAACGCCTTCCGGACACCCCGCCCCAGGTTGGAGGCTCCATCTTTTCCACTAGCTTTCCCTGTGAACCTCTCCGAACTTTGGTTTCTTGATCTCTAAACTGAGCTTAAAAATAATGCCTACCTCACAGGATTGTTTTGAAGACTCAATGAGATAATGTAAACTTTTTAGCATAGTTGTTGGTGCATATTAGAATTCAACAAACAGTGGCCACTCTGGTGTGGCTGGTGCTATTATTATTCTCCATCACTCTTGTCATCTTCTCCTCCTTGTGTCCCTGGAGGCCTCTGAAAATGTCCCACAGAGCACACTGGTGGCTGCTGTTCAGTCACTTGTCTGCTTCCTCCCCTAGACCATGACTTCCCTGAGGACAGGGGTGCACCACAAGCATTCAGTGAGTTCAGTCCACAACACTTATTGAGCAGCCTCTGGGAGCCAGACCCTATCCCAGGTGCTGGGGACACAAAAATTAGGAGGAAGGCAATGAACATCAGAAGTGAAGGTGGCAGAGAGGTGCCAGAGGGGAGTGTTAGGAGCACAGATTTCTGAGCCATCTGCTCCATCACATGTAGCTGTGTGACTTTAGATAAGATACTTAACCTCTCTGTTCCTCAGTTGCCTCATCTGTAAAAGGTGGGGGGTAAATAATGCCTATCTTGCTAGGTTGTTGTATCATTTTCTTTTCTTTCCTTTTTTTTTTTTTTTGAGATGGAGTCTTGCTTTGTCTCCAAGGCTGGAGTGCTGTGGCATGATCTCAGCTCACTGCAACCTCCGCCTCCTGGGTTCAAGCACTTCTCCTGCCTCAGCCTCCCGAGTAGCTGGGACTACAGGTGCACACCACCATGCCTGACTAATTTTTGTATTTTTAGTAGAGATGGGGTTTCACCATGTTGGTGTGGCCAAGGCTGGTCTCGAACTCCTGACCTCAGGTGATCCGCCCACCTCGGCCTCCCAAAGTGCTGGGATTACAGGTTTGAGCCACCGTGCCTGGCCTGTATCATTTTATTTCATGTTAACACATAGTCTTGCTCAACTAGGTAATACTTTTTTTTTTTTTTTTTTTTGAGATAATCTCACTCTGTCGCCCAGGCTGGAGTGCAGTGGTGTGATCTCGGCTCACTGCAACTGCCGCCTCCTGGGTTCAAGCGATTCTCCTGCCTCAGCCTCCTGAGTAGCTGGGATTACAGGCGCCCGCCACCACACCCAGCTAATTTGTGTATTTTTAGTAGAGACGGGGTTTCACCATGTTGGCCAGGCTGGTCTGAACTCCTGACCTCAGGCGATCCGCCCACCTCGGCCTCCCAGAGTTCTGAGATTACAGGCGTGAGCCACCGCGCCCGGCCCAATGAGATAATATCTGTAAAACATTCAGAACAAAGGACACTGAGTATCCACTGGATTTGGCAGTTAGCAGTGCATCAGAGAGATGTGGAGAGAGCTGCTTTAGAGGAAGCAGAAGCCAAAGTGCAGGGATGGGGAAGTGAGTGACTGGAAGGGATGAGAAAGGGGAGTGGAGACAGCCCCCTGAGAGCTATTGGGCGCAACAAGAGAGAGGGTAGTTTGATGGAGAGGGCGTTATTGACAGGAAGGTGCCAGTAGGATGGGAGTGACTGCAGATACAGGAGAGACGAAGGAGAACAGAGTAAGGGGGCGGGGGCTGGACTGCCTGCATCCAGGTGCAAGGGGAGGTGAGGGGGGGGTCGGCAGGGAGGGAGGGGGCTCGTTCATACCTGCTGCCGGGGTGCTCTGTATCCTCAAGTGGAGCAAACTCATCTGTGGAGGGAGAGAAGAGTGGCGAATGGAGCGGGGGGGGGGGGGGGCTCCGGGAGGGCGGGGGAAGTGTGAAGTAGCTCTTAAGTGGAGTGGGGGAGGGTTAGAAAAGACGGTGACAGGCGGTGCTAAGCAGAGACCAGAATCTGGAAGGGTGCCAGGTTGTGGGTGTGGGGGAGGGGGCTGTTCCGCCGCAGCTGCAGCTACAGCCAGGAGGTGAGGGTGAGGAAGCTGGAGGGAGGCATGACTTTTGGAGTGGGCGGGCTCACCGGGAGGATGACCAACTAGATGGTCCAGATTGCCTGGAAATGGAAAGTCCCTCATCCCAGGAATGCCTGAGGCCAAACAAACCAGTAGAGTTGGTCACCTACTGCAGAGTGATGAAACCCTGGCCCCCACGGGGGTGAGCGTGCTGGCTTTGTGATCGGCGCTAGGATGCAGGCTGGGGGTGGTGTGGGGGTGTAAGGGTAGCCTGGACACTCAGGAAATAGGACTGGGGGGTTGGGAGGGAGGTTAAGGACCTAAGGGTGTCACTCACCTGTCTTCCTGGTTCCTGAATAGTGCCTGGCCTTCCACCAGGCACTAAATATTTTTCCAGAGACTGTGAAACCAGACATTCTTACTACTTTTAATTTTTGCCATAGTCACATAGCTTCTGCGTTAACGTAATATTCTTTAAAATCAGCTCTTTAACAAGTATGTCTAAAAGGAAACACCCTTTACCCTATATGGACAAAAAGAAACCACACAGAGCCCCACCACCAAGCATATATTGGCGGCTAACTGGATCTGCTGCTTGACAAGGGAACTGCGGTGCCCAGGGCTGCTGTCTGTCTGTTACCCTGGGAGATGAGTCGGCTTGAGAGAGGCATGGACGATGTGCTCGCACCCAACGGAGCCCTTTCTCCTTGAGCTGCTGAGAAGAATGGGGCTTGAAAGAGGGACAGCTTTGCTGTGTGACTGAATTCCATGTTCCTTTACTACCTGCGATCATCTTGCTTCCCTCACTTCGGAAAATGCTGTGATAAAGTGATTGAGACTATAGGTTCTCTTAGTGTTCTTAAGAGTCAATAACAGCTGTGCATTTATTATTTTATTTTTTCAGGCTGAGTCTTGCTCTGTTGTCCAAGCTGGGGTACAGTGGTGTGATTTTGCAGTGAGCTGCAGCCTCAACCTCTGGGGCTCAAGCGATCTTCCCACCTCAGCCTCCTGAGTAGCTGGGATTACAGGTGTGAACCGCCGCACCCAGCCTCAGCTGTGCGTTTAAATACCAAGATGTCATTTGGGTGGCATTTTTGGGGGGTCATGTATAGGCTTAGAGAATGTTGCAGCTGAAAAGATCCCTGAGGACTCAATTGATCTGACACCCCCCCATCTCTGCTTCCTTCCTTCCTTTTTTAAAGGAAGGGAAGTAGAAACTGAAGCCCACAGAGGGCAGAGACTTAGCCAGAGCCTCGGAAACAGAGCTGGGACTAACCCCCACCCTCCTAGCTCGGCCAGCAGACCCGGTTAGCTACTTCTCCCACTTTCTCCGCACTTGGCCTTCGGAGACTATTTTGCTGCTTGATTTCTGATTTCTTGTCAGCTGTGATTAATGAGGAAATCTCCTGCATACACGATTTTCAGCTGTACCCGGTTTACGGCAAACAGATTAGATCATTTAAGTCAGAATAATACTATTTAGCAAAGCTGGATTTAGAGCTGGCAGAAATTAAGATTAAAGATAAAAAAAATAGAGTGAGAATCATAGATCAACACCTGAAAAATCTTGCTGCCTGTACACATCCCTAATTGAGAAGTATGTGAAAGATTCCATCCGTGAAATTCAATTATCATGCAAGCCAGAGGAAGTGGCTTCCCTGGGGAAAAAAACCAGGCAGCCCAAATCAAAACAGCCCCACCTGTCTGTTTTCGTGTCAAAAGAGTGAGAAAGCCTGCCTGGCTGATGATGAAATATGGACGATATGCATCAACTTGATGAAAATGTCCAGGGGTCCCTTTCTATAATGGGATTATCTCTCGAGCTCCTCCATCAGAAGTTAGCCTGGAAAAACGTTTGAGGCTTCATAGATACTGAGGGCAGACTGGCACCTGCACCCCATTCCTGACACCCTTTCTCCCAGCTTCAGAGTGGGTGGGACTGGATGGAACTGGAAGACAAAAGGAGCTCTCAAGCCCTGAGCCCCTTCCATGGATGAGGGGCTTCTTAACTGGAGCAATCAGCAGGAAAATCTCACAACTGTAATGATTACAAATGAGCCAGTGGTAATTGACCCGCCTTTTAACTGCAAGGAGGGATGCAGGGTTGGGGCGGGGGTTCTTCAGCACTTGCTTTGTCTCTCGGATTCCAGAGAGATTCACACTGCAATCCTGGATCTGCAGAAGAGCTGGATGGAGTTTCTTTTTGGTTAACTGCTGTGCGTGGTCATGGTGGTAAATACAGGCTTATTCCCCTCTGGGGCTTAGAGGCGTACAATTTGCAAAGTGCTTTCACATTCATCAACTCAGAACATTCGACTCAGAAAACCCTGAGATAATGTTTCCCATTATACAGATGAAGAGGCGGAGGTTAAACGATTGGCTTCATCTGTTTGAAAAATCCGTGCTGGATTCCGATCTAATGTGTGTTTGGTGCTACGCTGGTCCATTTAGAGAAAGGCGCCATCTCAGTCTCTCAGGAGCAGGCATTCTGGTGGGGAGGATTAGACGCTGACTTATGTGATCATCACCGAAGGTCAAATGTGATAGGGCCATCGGGGAGGGGTGCTTAGGGAGAGGTCAAAGATGAAAAAGACTGCTTGATGGAGAAACCCTCCCCAAGGGCCAGGGCCAAGCCTGTCTCTACGGCAGTTGTAGCTCCAGTACTTGGCACAAAGCAGGTTTCAAAAGCATCAGTTGAATAAATGAATGAATGAATGAATGATAGTGGTGCCTCTTAAGATAGACCTTAAAGGATGTAAAGAATTTGGGGAATTTGAAGAAAAGCAAGTAAGTTGGGAATTATTACCGGGAGAATAGAGGAAGTAAATCGTAGGATATCAAAATTGCAATAATATTGGGTTTGCTGAATCTGTGCTGAGTATGAACAAGCTCTGGCTGATGTTAACAATGTGGTTTTGCTAATCCCTGCTGCATTGTCTCATGGATGGTGACAGTCAGGTCTCTCCTTCACACTCCTCCCTCTTCTCCCAAAGTCACTGGGAAAATTGCTTTGCAGACCATCTGTGCCTCTTTGAGTGACTTAGAGGTTTCAAATTAGTTTCTCCAGGTATTATTTTGAATTCTAGTGGCTTGCTCCAGATCAGGGCAGGACTAAGGGGAGAGGAGAGATGCTCAGGAGGGGGAGAAATATCTGAGTTTGATTGGAGACTCATGATATCTTTGGTGTACAATCAAAATCGGTGAAGGTGGTTCTTGATGTGAACTGTGTATTTTGAGTCCTCAAGGAACACTGCCTATCCCTGCCTGGAAGGAAGGGTCTAGTGTCAGGATAGACTCCCTGGTACTACCTGGGAGGAGCCCCCTCAACCACTCTCCCTGAACTGGAAGGGATGGGGAACATGGTGTCGTCTCCAGCTTGAGCCATAATGTTCACCTTTGTGATATGGGACAAGAGGGCCCTACAGGCTCAGGGTCATCATGAAAGGCAACAACTTTATAAAAGGGAAGAAGGAGTAAGGAAAACCTGCCTGTCCCTAATTATAGAGTTATCATGTCCAACATCTAACCTAAAAATAACAGTGGACTTGTCAAGCCCTGATCAGGAGGTACTTACTGGGAAAATCTGATAGTCACATTTCAGGGTGGGCTGGTTCTTCTCTATTTGTAATCCCTTCCAGGGCCATCCTCTGACTTTCTCCACCCTGCCCTGTCTCTGGGGGGCTGACCCACATGGATGGTATCATCTGGGCTCCTTTGCCCTCAGGCATTAGGTTGGGTTCAGTCCATGGGAGGCACTTGGGCGATCGGAGAAGGAGAGAAGGAATAGTCAGGGTAGCTCTTCCCTGCTCCCTTCTTGCTTTAAGATCATGTCATGGCAGGGTCTGGGTCCTTCTGTGACCATGGTGTGCCAGGCAGCCACAACCTTCACCTCCCAGGTTCAAGTGATTCTCACACCTCAGCCTCCTAAGTAGCTGGAATTACAGGCACATGACATCAAGCCTGGCTAACTTTTGTATTTTTAGTAGACATCGAGTTTTGCCATCTTGACCAGGCTGATCTCAAACTCCTGGCCTCAAGTGATCCATCTGCATTGAGCTCCCAAAGTGCTGGGATTACAGGCATGAGCCACTGGCCCCTGCCTCACTAGGCCCTGCCTCACTAGGCTCTGCCTCACTAGGCTCTTAAGAAGAGCATTCCAGGCCTGGTGCAGCGGCTCATGCTTGTAATCCCCGCACTTTGGGAGGCCGAGGCAGGTAGATCATGAAGTCAGGCATTCGAGACCAGCCTGACCAACATGGTGAAACTCCGTCTCTATTAAAAATACAAAAATTAGCCAGGTGTCGTGACGGGTGTCTGTAATCCCAGCTACTCGGGAGGCTGAGGCAGGAGAATCGCTTGAACCCGGGAGTTGGAGGTTGCAATGAGCCGAGATTGCACCACTGCACTCCAGCCTGGCCAACAGAGTGAGACTCCATCAAAAAATAAATAAATAAATAAATAAAAATAAATAAATCAGCATTCCTTCTCTTAGCCCCTTCAGGCCTAGGGGTGTCAGTGGCTCCCACTGTTGCTAGTGTCTGGGTGCCGCAACATCCTGCTTACACCTCTGTAGTGGTCCCTTCCTTCGAGTGTCTTCTTTGAATTGACTTATTTTTTCCTGCTAAGATCCTGCCTCATAGGTGCCTGGAGAACAGGCTCCTGCCTTGTTCATCTCCACAACCCCTGGGTCAGACTGCAGAGCCTGGGCTCCTACTGTGTAACAGGCAGCCAGAGTCCATCAGAAATTGGCTTGAAATTCTCCTATCTCTTGGGCCCTTAGGGTTAGGGCTGCTGCTTTGGGTGTACGGCGCCTGTTTCACTCCCAGGAGCTTAGCCTTGTGATTTCTAGAGATGCCAAGTATATTATGTGGCTCACATGGGGGCAGGTGAGAAAAGCTACTGTCAGTGAAGACAAAGACCTTACCCTGCCTTCAAGCTTAGCATGTCTAAGTGGAAGCAGGTTTCATGAGAGAAGAAACAATGAACTTTTAGGGTTGGATAGAGTTGGGTTCAAATCTTTGATCCTCCTCTTATACACTGGGCAGCCTTGGGCAGGCCACTTCTCTCTGAGTCCTCGTATGTAACTGGGAGTGACAATAGTCTCCTCACTCCAACGCCACCATAAGCATTACACATGGTCATGGACAGGAAGGGCTGGGATGGGGGCCTGGTCCTCATGCCCTTCAAGTGCGCATCCTCAGATCTTTCCCCTCTTGATGCTTGTAGCAGTTTCACAATCTCCACCTTCCTCGCTCCCCTACAAAATGGCTTTCATGATACTATATCCCCAGTGCAGCCTTTTGTGATAAGATGGACTCAAAGCCCCAAATTCCATTCCGAGGAAAAGCCAGTGCTCCCCAAGATCACTCTAAATCCCCAGAGGACTTTCCCCTGGTCACCTTTGGCTCTGAGTGAGTTCCCTTTCTGAATCATCTTTTTATCTCACCAGTGCTGTTTCTTTCCTACGCTGTTGTGGAGGTGGAAAATACAGCCCTTTTCATTATTTTCACAAAAATAAGCAGACTTTCCCCAAATAGAGTAAAACTTGCACTTGGCCATCATAGCCTCTTGGCCTCCAGAGCCCATTTCTTCCCCCTCCTCTCACCTCCTCCCAGGATTCCCCCTGGGAACTCCAAATTCTCACTTTCTTGCACTGGGGCTCTGCAGCTTTGTCCAGTCCCCGCTCTGGAATTTTGCAGGACCTACCTTTGCCTGCCTGGGTCTACCGAGTGTACACAAGAACAAAAGGGCCTTTAATCTCCCGGCTCCTCTCCCATCCGAGTGCAGCTGTGCCTGTGAACAATGACATTGTCCCTGCAGGACATACCCAGGGTGGGGCACCAGGTAAGGCCCAAGTGTAAAATTCCACGTGCTATCGACTCACCTGCCATCCTCCTCAGGAGGTTGGACAGAGGTGGGACAGGAGCTGCCCTCTTCAAACCCAGTCCCAGGTTCTAGTCCCAGCTCTGTGAATGGCTGACTGGGTGACTCCAGGCAGGCTGCAGTCACTCTCCCAGCCTCAGTGTCCCCACTGTTGGCTGAAGGTCTGGAGCCCCAGCCCTGAGAGGTGCCAGCCTGCGCCCTGGAGGCTGGCAGGCCGGCTGCAGTGCTGCCGTCCTGGCACGGGAGCTCAAGCAGTGCACTCTCGCACTGGGGCTGCGCTTTCTTTTGATCACGCTTTCTCCTCACCTTGTCCTTGTGTCACTGGATAGGATCCCATCTGTCATGCTGAGCCATCTGCTTCCTCTCCTGCCATCTCTGCTGCCCAACTCTAAGTAAATTAAAAAACAAAGAGGCAGGAAGCCGCTGACAGCCGCATTTATCCTCATTTCTGTGGCTGGCAATGGGAGCTGAAGGGCTGGCTTGGTGGGTCTGAATTAAAGATTAGAGCAGGTGGGGAGGGAGACAGTCCTGTGGCTGTGACACCTCGACCGCGGATGACACCTTGGGTGGCCATGAATGTGGGCAGGGGCTGGGGAGGAAGGGATTCGAGTCAGTGTGAGGGGCAGTGGTGGGACGCTTTGGAGTTGGGCAAAACTGGTTTGTACCATCTCTGTGTATGACCCTGGGCAAGTCATTTACACTGGAAGCCTCAGTTTCCTTATCTGCGAGATGGGCATAATCGATATTACTGACTACACAAAGTGGTTGGGAGACTCAGTGAGAAGCATATAGTTTCATAGCAGGTATGCAGCCGGTGCTCTACAGAGAGGTATTTCTGAGGGATGCAGGGGACGCACGGAAAAAGATGGGGTTGGCATGGAGCCACTTGCCCAGGGAAGGGCATTAGGGAGGAGTTTGGTGACCTGTGTCTCCTCCGTGGGCCTCAGTCCCCACATCTCAAAGATGGGACTAGGACTGTTGGGTCAAACTCTAGGAAAAGAGCTGAAGGGGCAGGAGGCATGGGACAGCTGGGGGCTCAACTTGGAGGACAAGTGGGTCAGGAGCAGGAGACGCTGGAGGGGTCCGCTGTGGTGGCTTCCCAAGGATGGCTCTGCAGTTGATTGTGTTATTGCTTCCCACTGTTTCCTGCCCTCCTTCTGAGAAGATTGTATAATTTCTCCACCCCACTGACATCAGGTTTGGCCACACAACCAGTTCTGAGCAGAAGCTCCAAGAGCCGTCACACATTTCCATGATTGCTCTTTCTTTCCTACCATGGGAGCAAAATAAGGTGTTTTCATCTAGTCTAGGTGTTGAAATGAGGGTGGTGTGGGTCAGAGCCAAAGCTGACCCACAGCAGATATGGATGTGAGCCAGAAATAAATGTTCACTGTGAGTCACTGACATGTTAGGGTCTTTAGCAGAAGCTGTCTGTATAGGCCCCTTGGACTCCAAGCTGATCCTGATTTTAAGGAAAAGGTGCAGCCTGACTCTGCCTGCTTTCCTGCAATTTCTGGGTTCAGGCAGACAAAGGACCTTCTCTGGGCCTTGGTAATTTTGTCTGTAGAATGATTAGCCATGGATAAGTGAAAGTCCATAAGGTGGGGGAGGGTGGAGGACCATGCAACGGTGTCACCCCCAGTCCCAGGGGACCCTCCTGGGGTGGGCAGGCATGTGGCACAAATGAAAGCATATGTGACTATATTCTCGTCCTTTCCCCACTTCAGAGCATTTCTATTTCTTCCCACAGATCATACCATTGCAATGATCATTGCCCAGAACGCAGGCAACTCTACTCCCAAGCCATGTTACCACAATTATAGAGAGGTCATTAAGACACATTCCATGGATATCAGCTTAGACGTCCCTGAGTCTCAGGGTCTAAGTCTTCTTCCTGGCCTGACCTGATAGAACTCATGATTGGGAAATGGCCAGGCTCTAACTGAGACATAGAGATGTCCCTCCAGGCAGGCAAACAGCTTAACACAGCTTCAAAATGAAAGCCTTGACATTTATCTAAAGAGAAGGGATAGCTAACGGTGACATTAATCCTCTTTTTACTCTCCTGAGATATTTACTTCTGGCCCCAAACTTGATTAGTCCATTCTGTAAGACCAGAGCTCTGTAGGTAAGCAGGTCTCCCTGGAGTGGACATTTGTCCTTTGGGAGCCATCCTGGCATCTGAGTGCCCCGCTTATGCTTTGTCAGAGTCTGGCTCTCACAGTAGAAGCAGAAAAGGCTGGACACTTATTTTCCAGCCTCCCAGCAGTGAGGCCACAGGCACTCGCTCCCATCTGCTCCAGTGACACAGACAGTGGAGGCTCCATGCTGGTGCAGCAGCAGCCCCAGCCTCCAAGGGTCATGGTGGCAGCAGGGCAGCTGGCGGATCCAGTGCCCAGTGCAAGCAGCTCTGCCGTGTGAGCTGTGGCTAGCAGGACTTGGGGCCGGTAGCAGAGTTCTTGGTACTCTGCTCTGTGAGAGCTTCTGGCCATGGTCCTGGCCTCTGCCCATTTTCTAATCCTGGTTCTGCATCTGTCCCATGTATTCTGTGAGATCCTCACTGTTCTTTCACTAAATTTGCCTTCTGCTTGTTACCAGCAAGAAGGCTGTTTCTATTGCTTGCTAGTAGGAGCCCTGACGTGGAAAGCAATTTAGCATTCTGTTACCAGACCAAGCAGGTTAGCAGAGAATTCTTTCTAGCCATGCATGGTTCTATCTTTGCGCAGTGTTTTAGGAAATATATTTTGTTATATTTTCAGAAATGTTCTAGTGCCCTATATAAATTACTACCCCAAATAGTGGTCCTGCCAGTTCGCTCCTTAACCTGGTCCTTGGCATGGCTGGCACCACCCTGAGAAGGAGGTTGTGTTGGGACATCACATAGTTGTGGTTTGCAGCAGCTCCAGTCACACTGAAGAGCCACCTCCCATCCTGAGCATTGGATAGGACCAGGGGTGACTGTCCACAGCTTCACAGGAACTGAAAGACCTCTTGAGCTGGATTAATTAGGTGATATTCACAATGGTGCCTGCAAACCAAATGTATCAGGATCACTTGGGAAGCCTTTTAAAAAATGCATATTCCATGGTCCCAGCTACAGATTCAGGGAGGCCCAGGGATCTGCATTCTGATGCTCTGATCCAACTCCCTGAGTGCTTTTCACAGATGGGTAAAGAAGCAGCCAGGTCTCCTGACCTCCAGTCTACTCAGTGACCTCCCCTACAGCTCTTCAAGTAGATTCTGCCCCTCCTAGGCAAGAAAGCATGATCTAGGTTGGCTGCCAGCAAGGCCAACCTGATGGGGAGGGGGTGCTGCTCCCGGAAAAAACTATGATGAATATGGAATTTATAATCTGGCTATTTCAGCAAATATTGGTGTGCTTTGCTGAAAGGTGCACTTTCAGATCAATTCTGCACTGCGTCTTTTTCAAATTATTATTCTAAGCTTGTAAAATTGAGTTTATTACTGGTGTAAAAATAATAAACTCAGGAATCATTCATTGCTCTCCACTCCCAGGAGTCAGCCTAGTTTTTAAAAAAGAATCAGGAAAGTTTAGGATGACCCCAGGTTTCTCAACTAAGATACTGGGGGATGGTGGTGCCCTGCACTGATATGGGAGCTCAGCAGGGGCAGGTGTTGGGGGAGTGAGATATATTGATTGTGTGGTACATGTTGAATAATCATAAGTATATTGGTGGGCAGAGGCCAAACAGGTCTGGGGCCTGGGGAAGAGGTCTGGTTCAAAAACAACAAGTTAGAACTCTTTAATACAGGTGAGATGATTCAGACAGTGTTTTCTGTGAGGAATGAGAACAGTGATCCTTAGCCCCTTTGTCCTTCAGTGGAAAATGAGGCTAGGGTAGGGAAGGAAGGGTAGGTGGTGAGAGAGGCTGAGGCCAAATAGTTTGTAAATTTCATCTAGCTCCAACATTCTGCTGCTCTGTACCATACATGTTTGTCAATTCAGTTCAGTCCAGTTCAGTTCAACAGTTCCAGTCACTATGTTGAGCATAAGCCAATTCATCAACTATTTATTGAGCACTGACTATGTTTAAGACCCTGGGGTCACCAGCAGACCTTAAGTGAACTGAGTGGACGTTCACTTGTCATATTTGGTGATGGATCAGGCAGGGTATGATATTTAATGTCAGGCCTGAAGTTCAGAGAGGAAGCACAACATTTCCAAGGTCAGAGAGCAAAATGGTGACATGATTCCTGACTCCTAGCCCAGAAGGGGGATTTCTCTGAAGCATGGTACAGCCAGGAATAGGTAGTAGGATATGAGTGGACAATGTAAAAATATGATTAACACTTGATTATTGGTAGAGGATGGGTTGGCTCTGGAGGCAACAGGATTGCTGAGTGTCTGGGCTCACTGGAATGATTAGAGTCTCCTGAGATGGATGAATAGAGAAGAGAGTGTTAGGACTCACAGGTCACCCCACTCAACCTTTTACTATTTAAAACAGTCTTGCACATCTCTAGTGATAAGCAGCTCATTACCATCCAAGGTAGCTCATCCTTTATTTGGGTAGCTCTGACTCTTGGAATTTGCTTTTTACAGTGAAGAGAGATCAAGTCTCCTGCTGCAGTTCCATTCCATCGATTTGTCTTAGCTCAGCCACTGGGCACCACAGATCATGTCTGTTTCCTTTGTCCTGTGACACCCCTCAAAGACTTGGAGGTGACCCGGATCCATTGAGCTCCAGGTTTGTGCCTCAGATCCCTCAGCCATTATGTCCTTCCAGAATTGGATCCTCTTCCATCCTGTTCACCCATTCCTGATGTGTTATGGTTTACCATAGTCTCTCTCTCTGAGTGAAGCACAGCACTCCAGAGCTGTGTGATGAATGCATCTCTTTAATGCTTATTGCAGGACTAGGAGCTGCTTGTACACCAGCCTGAGTCACATGACCTTGTGACCCAAGGTCCATCTACCAGTGACCCTCTGCTCCCACCTCAGGATGTAGGCACCCCCTGATTCCTCTGTGTATATGGGGGAGGGGTAGGACAGGCAGGGCCCAGTGAAAATGGTTTCAACCCTGTGTGAGTGAAAGCCTGGGCATATAGGAGGTGTTCTAAAAATTAACAGCCCCCAGTGACTTGGCTGGCAAATAGCTTTCATTCCCTTGCTCCTCCAAGTGTGGTTCATGGACCAGTAGTATCAGCATCTTCTGGGGGTTTATTAGAAGTGCAGTATCTGAGGCCCCATTCCACACTTACTGAATCAGAAACTGTGACTTAAGATCTCTGGGCGACCCATATGCCCTCTGTGTTAGGCCGTTTTTTTGCATTACCAGAAAGGAATACCTAAGACTAGGTAATTTATAAAGACAAGAGGTTAATTTGGCTCACGGTTCTGCAGGCTGTACAAGCATGGCACCAACATCTGCTCGGCTTCGGGGGAGGGCCTCAGGAATCTTACAGTCATGAAGGAAGGTGAAGTGGGAGCAGATATGCCACATGGCAAGAGCAGGAGCAAGAGAGCAATGCCAGGAGAGCCCTGGACTTTTAAACAACTAGATCTCGTGTGAAATAACAGAACAAAATTTCATTTATCACCAAAGGGATGGCATTAAACCATTCATGAGGGATCCACCCCTATGATCCAATCACCTCCCACCCGGCCCTTCCTCCAACACTGGGGATTACGTTTCAACACGAGATTTGGAGAGTACAAATATCCAAACCATATCATCTGCTGTTCCTTTTTGTGAATCCTCGGGGTCATTTTGCTTGGCTCAGCCTTCAGGGCTTGTGGATCATGTCCAGATGATCTTCCTAAAATTCCAATCTGCCCATGTCACTCTGCTGCTTACCTGCTACCAAAGGGTCCCTACTGGTTTCAGGATAAAGTATAAACTCCCAGTCATCATGATTTGGCTTGTACCTGTCTCAAGGGCCTATCTATCACCCTACTCATACCAAATAACTCATAGTTCTCCCAAAAGGACAGGCTCTTCCACATCTTGCATTTGTACGTGCTGTCTCCTCTGCCTGGAATTTCTCCCCTAGACTTTCTCCCCTGAAGAACTCTTCCTCAATCTTAATCTCAGCTTTCACCTCTCTTTCTCCAGGAGCTGCCTGATGTGTGCCTGCATCAAATAGTCCTTCTGTGATGGTTCATTTTATGTGTCAACTTGACTGGGCCATGGAGTGCCCAGTTATTTGGTTAAACATTATTTCTGGGTGTGTCCATGAAGGTGTTTCTGGATGGATGAACATTTAAACTGGTAGGCAGTAAAGCCGACTGCCTTCCCCAGTGTGAGGGGGCCTTATCCAACCTGTTGAAAACTTGAATAGAATAGAAGACTGAGTAAGAAAGGATTATTTTGCTCTGCCTTTGAGCTGGGACATTGGTTCTCATGTGCCTTCAGACTCAAATGCAGCCTAGAACTTACACCATTGGCTCTCCTGAATCTCTAGCTTGTCAACAGCATTCTTGGCACTTCGGAGCCTCCATAACTGCATAAGCCAGTTCTCTATAGTCTCTCTCTCTCTCTCTCTCTCTCTCTCTCTCTCTCTCTCTCTCTCTCACTCTTTCTCTCTCTCTGTTTCTCTCTCTCTCTGTTTCTCTTGGGAACCCAGACTAACGCACTTTCCCTTTAGCAAAGCACTTGACACAAACACACTGGGCTGTCATCACAAATCCACATGTGTTTTCCTTATCAAATTGTGAATTCCTTGGGGCAGAGTCTGCCTGGCTTATCTCAGAGCCAAGCACACTGTAGGTGCTCAATAAATGCTAAATTGCTGAGGCAGTTACCAAAGGCCCTGGGTCTGCAGAAGATCTCAGCTGCAGGGAAGGTTGATGAAGCAAGTTTATTCCTTATAGTTCCCTGCCTCCCTACTCCCCAGGACAGGGGTCCCCCTGTGAAGGGTCCTCAGAGAATCAGCCCTGTCATCATACCAGTAGCAGCCAGTGCCACCACCAAGAAATGCCATGATCCTCAAAGAGTTTCCTGGATCCTAGTCATTCTTCAATTCACCCCACTTTTCTGAGCCTGTTGTGAGCTAGGCTTGACTCCCAGAAAGCTGAGATGGAATAGATCTGTAGATCTATTCCCTGTTTTGGAGAGTTCATAGTCTGGTCAGGAGCATGGGCCCAAATGACTTGCAAACAATGTTCTGGAGGCTTGGGAGAGGGAGCTGTTTACTGGGTAAGATGTCACTACACAGCCGAAGGGCAGGAATGGCATCCAAAGCAGACAGCACAGCACGAGCAAGGCCTGGTATAGAAAATGGTTATTTAAGCTGGAGCAGAGGGCATGTGAAGTGGGACAGTGGAAATGTAGGCTAGAGCCAGTTTATGGGGGAGGCCTAAAATGCTAAGAAGATACATTGCCCACAGGGCTTTCATGTGCAGCTGTTCAAGTTGTACACTGCACAAAGGTGTCATGTCTCAGGGCACCATTTGCTTTGCAAGCAACTTCATTGTTTTGAAAATTAGAAAATATTGTTATTATATATTTTTCACTTTCAAGATGGGTTGTATTCACATTTATGACAATTTTCTGGCAGATGGAAGTATAATGCCTTGTTCTAACTGTGTTGATTCATATTGTTTCATTTCTACTTTTGAAGGAGGAACAACTTTTGTAATTGAGAGACCTAGTTTACAAAAATATAGATTGTAGAATGCAGTCCGGAGACATACTCTCAAAAATATCCACGTTTAAATTCCATTTCTTAGTTCCAATTTGACAGTTTTCTGTAAAATTAGTAGTAGAAGTAAGAAGATACAGGAACCAAAATGCATTTGAAAGCATGGAAGGAATTAAAACTTATTTAAAGAAAAATTAAATGATGATATTTAAGAAAATATATTCTTAATGTTAAACAAGTTGGAGATCATTGATGCCAACTTCTTTAAGGAAGAGAATATGAGAAAAAAAGTCAGAAGACCAATTTTAACTGTGAATTCTGTAATCAGCATGATTATGACCCATATAAAATTTCAAAATCAAGTTGTATATAATATTTTTAAATAGAACTTGAATAGAATATTATTTTTAGAAGAAGGGTTTGTAATGCTGAAAAATATTATGGTCTTTCATTCTTCTAAATGACATATAATTTGAAGAATTTTGATGAAATTGGACTACTGTATGTGAAAATTTACAATGGAGAGGAGGTCGCGGCGCCGGAGGCCCCAGAAGGCTCGAAGGCGCCGCGGGCTGGGGTCGGTGGCTTAGGGAGCCCGTCCGGCCATGGTGGCCGCGGGTAGTGGTTGGCGCGGCTGCGCTGCGGCCCGGGGCAGTGCGGAGCCGGGACAGTCGCGGCGCTGACGCCCGCGGGCCCCAGCTGCAGATATGAAGCGGAGCCGCTGCCGCGACCGACCGCAGCCGCCGCCGCCCGACCGCCGGGAGGATGGAGTTCAGCGGGCAGCGGAGCTGTCTCAGTCTTTGCCGCCGCGCCGGCGAGCGCCGCCCGGGAGGCAGCGGCTGGAGGAGCGGACGGGCCCCGCGGGGCCCGAGGGCAAGGAGCAGCCGCCTGCCTTGGCCTCCCAAAGTGCCGAGATTGCAGCCTCTGCCCGGCCGCCACCCCGTCTGGGAAGTGAGGAGTGTCTCTGCCTGGCCGCCCATCGTCTGGGATGTGAGGAGCCCCTCTGCCTGGCTGCCCAGTCTGGAAAGTGAGGAGCGTCTCCGCCCGGCCGCCATCCCATCTAGGAAGTGAGGAGCGCCTCTTCCCAGCCGCCATCACATCTAGGAAGTGAGGAGCGTCTCTGCCCGGCCGCCCATGGTCTGAGATGTGGGGAGCGCCTCTGCCCCGCCGCCCCATCTGGGATGTGAGGAGCGCCTCTGCCCGGCCGAGACCCCGTCTGGGAGGTGAGGAGCGTCTCTGCCTGGCCGCCCCGTCTGAGAAGTGAGGAGACCCTCTGCCTGGCAACCACCCCGTCTGAGAAGTGAGGAGCCCCTCCGCCCGGCAGCTGCCCCGTCTGAGAAGTGAGGAGCCTCTCCGCCCGGCAGCCACCCCATCTGGGAAGTGAGGAGCGTCTCCGCCCGGCAGCCACCCCGTCCGGGAGGGAGGTGGGGGGGGTCAGCCCCCCCCCCGGCCAGCCGCCCCATCCGGGAGGGAGGTGGGGGGTCAGCCCCCCGCCTAGCCAGCCGTGCCGTCCGGGAGGGAGGTGGGGGGATCAGCCCCCCGCCTAGCCAGCCATGCCGTCCGGGAGGGAGGTGGGGGGGTCAGCCCCCCACCCGGCCAGCCGCCCCGTCCGGGAGGTGAGGGGCGCCTCTGCCCGGCCGCCCCTACTGGGAAGTGAGGAGCCCCTCAGCCCGGCCAGCCGCCCCGTGCGGGAGGGAGGTGGGGGGGGTCAGCCCCCCGCCTGGCCAGCCGCCCCGTCCGGGAGGGAGGTGGGGGGGTCAGCCCTCCGCCCGGCCAGCCGCCCCGTCTGGGAGGTGAGGGGCGCCTCTGCCCAGCCACCCCTACTGGGAAGTGAGGAGCCCCTCTGCCCGGCCAGCCGCCCCGTCCGGGAGGGAGGTGGGGGGGTCAGCCCCCCGCCCGGCCAGCCGCCCTGTCCGGGAGGGAGGTGGGGGGGTCAGCCCTCCGCCCGGCCAGCCGCCCCGTCTGGGAGGTGAGGGGCGCCTCTGCCCGGCCGCCCCTACTGGGAAGTGAGGAGCCCCTCTGCCCGGCCAGCCGCCCCTTCCGGGAGGGCGGTGGGGGGGTCGGCCCCCCACCCGGCCAGCAGCCCCGTCCGGGAGGGAGGTGGGGGGGTCGGCCCCCCGCCCGGCCAGCCGCCCCGTCCGGGAGGGAGGTGGGGGGGTCGGCCCCCCGCCCGGCCAGCCGCCCCGTCCAGGAGGGAGGTGGGGGTGTCGGCCCCCCGCCCGGCCAGCCGCCCCGTCCGGGAGGGAGGTGGGGGGGGGTCGGCCCCCCCGCCCGGCCAGCCGCCCCGTCCAGGAGGTGAGGGGCGCCTCTGCCCGGCCGCCCCTACTGGGAAGTGAGGAGCCCCCCTGCCCGGCCACTACCCCGTCTGGGAGGTGTGCCCAACAGCTCATTGAGAACGGGCCAGGATGACAATGGCGGCTTTGTGGAATAGAAAGGCGGGAAAGGTGGGGAAAAGATTGAGAAATCGGATGGTTGCCGTGTCTGTGTAGAAAGAAGTAGACATGGGAGACTTTTCATTTTGTTCTGCACTAAGAAAAATTCCTCTGCCTTGGGATCCTGTTGATCTGTGACCTTACCCCCAACCCTGTGCTCTCTGAAACATGTGCTGTGTCCACTCAGGGTTAAATGGATTAAGGGCGGTGCAAGATGTGCTTTGTTAAACAGATGCTTGAAGGCAGCATGCTCGTTAAGAGTCATCACCAATCCCTAATCTCAAGTAATCAGGGACACAAACACTGCGGAAGGCCGCAGGGTCCTCTGCCTAGGAAAACCAGAGACCTTTGTTCACTTGTTTATCTGCTGACCTTCCCTCCACTATTGTCCCATGACCCTGCCAAATCCCCCTCTGTGAGAAACACCCAAGAATTATCAATAAAAAAATAAATTTAAAAAAAAAAAAAAATTTACAATGGAAATTAACTGCTATGCTGTTGATAGGGCATCAACTTGTGAGGAGCTAAAACCTTAAATTGTTTTCTAAACTCTCCCATTGATGTTGAGCAATACACTTGCATCAATAATTTACTAAATGTATTTCTGAACACTTTTATGGCTCTCAGAACATATTTAACTTTGCCAATATTGGTTGCCAATGGAGAACATAGCTTCCTGAAATTAAAATGTATTTTAAATTACTTAAGGTTTGTAATCTGTCAAATCTAGCAACCAGTTCTAGGGAAAATGAGATATTGGAGCAAGTGAGTGTTAAAATGATTATAATTTGTGTTCATGAAAGCAAGATGCCTGTCTTAGCTTAGATTTCCCTGAAAAGCAGAGGCTAAAACAAAGGTTTGCGGGTGTGTGGTTTATTTGTGGGAACTGACCCCCAGTGAACTGTAAAATGTGAAAAAGAAAAAAAATCTATCCAAGCTATGCAGCTGGACACCACCCTGAACACCTGCGCTCCATCTGGTGGGACCCTGTGAGGAGCCATGTTGAATGCCTTCCAGAACCATCTGCCATGGGGCAGAAGAAGGGTATATTTCTGCACCTGTGCCAATCCCCCTTTGATCAAAGGTTGCTGCCCTGTGAGAGGTTAACTCCCTTGTACTTCAAAGTTTGCACATTTGTCAGAATGCCGTATGTGGCCACAGCAGAAAAGCCCCAGAAGCCAAAAACAAGAGGGTTGAGGAGGGAACAGGGGCGACTGAGTGAGCTGCTCTCAGGTTAAACTTGCACACAGCTGGTTGTCTCAAAAACAGCTGGAGTAGAAAAGGTTGCCTAGAGGATGTGAGGTGGGGCATAAAAGGGGTGCTGTACAACATATTTAGCAATTTTAAAACAATCATATTCTAGTTCTAATTACAGTGAGTATGAGTTTAAAATTTCTATTTCATTTAACATCCTGTATTTTGGTTTAATGTACATACGGTACAGAAATTTTAAGTATACAGCTCAATGAATTTCGAGTGTTCTTTGATGTTCTACAATTTTCTTTTTGTTACATATACAAAATGACTGTTATAATAATGATTATTAAGAAATAATGGGCCGGGTGTGGTGGCTCATGCCTGTAATCCCATCACTCTAGGAGGCTGAGGCAGGTGGATCACCTGAGGTTAGGAGTTCGAGACCAGCCTGGCCAACATGGTGAAACCCCGTCTCTACTAAAAATACAAAAATCAGCCGGGCGTGGTGGTGCATGCCTGTAATCCCAGCTACTTAGGAGGCTGAGGCAGGAGAATCACTTGAACCCAGAAGGCGGTGGCTGCAGTGAGCCGAAATTGCACCACTGCACTCCAGCCTGGGTGACAGAGCAAGACTCCATCTCAAAAAAAAAAAAAAAAAAAATTAATAATGTAACTCTTTTGAAACTTCATGTGGGAAAGGGGCATCTTTTTCTCATTTGCCTTCTGATGCCATGTGAACCGGCAGTTGGACCTCTGAGGACAGAGATGTGTGCCCTGAACAGGGTAAAGATGGACACTTCCTCACTCAGTACAGAAGGCTTGGGAAAGTTGTGGTCAAACTGGTTTTTTGTCATTTGAAGATTTATGAAACCTAAGCTAGGAGAACTTGCTATTTTGAATATCTCACAATATGAGGACTCCATTAAAGCAGGGGAAACTGTATACTTAGCTTTTGGAACATTGAAATTTCCT
The DNA here is from genome assembly GCF_000001405.40 of Homo sapiens. Lineage (NCBI taxonomy): Eukaryota > Metazoa > Chordata > Mammalia > Primates > Hominidae > Homo > Homo sapiens. The sequence goes on from NC_000009.12 coordinate 38,245,315, forward strand.
GCTATACTTCCTTCCACTTCCCTTCTTAAACTTTTTTGCCCTTAGTAAGCACCTTGGCTGGTTATGGTTCCTTGCCTGGTGGAAAACTCACATCTGCATTCCTGAAGAGCCTACGGCATTAGACTATGCTGTTATTTATTTTATTTTATTATTTTTTTTGAGACGGAGTCTTCGCTCTTTCGCCCAGGCGGGAGTGCAGTGGCGCTATCTCGGCTCACTGCAAGCTCCGCCTCCTGGGTTCACGCCATTCTCCTGCCTTGGCCTCCAAAGTAGCTGGGATTACAGGCCCCAGCCACCACACCCGGCTAATTTTTTGTGTTTTTAGAAGAGATGGGGTTTCACCGTGTTAGCCAGGATGGTCTCGATCTCCTGACCTCGTGATCCGCCCGCCTCGGCCTCCCAAAGTGCTGGGATTACAGGCGTGAGCCACCGCACCCAGCCTATGCTGTTATTTTAATGAACGTTTACCATAAGCCATGGGGGTATTAAGAGGCATTCCAGAAAAATCTCCTGGGTTCCAGAAAGACTCCTCTTTGTCCTCATCGTGTAGTAGCAGCTTACTTCCCCTTTGGTAATCAGGACTAATCACTCCAGTGAGGACACTACCTCCTTCCTTGCCTCTTGGTTAAATGGCACGGGGGGCCCAGAGTAGCCAGGGGGCAGTCTGAGCTTCCAGTTCAGTGGACTATGGTTGTGTCCATTGATGGAAGTGGCTTTCCTTTGGGAATCAAGACTTCTGCACCAGGGAGCTCAAAGCCACAATGATAGAAATGAAAATGTTGCTTGTGCTTCATTAAGGGTAGTTGTGGTATGAACTACTTCTGTTTCCTTCCATTGATTCCTGGACCCATGAATGCTAGCTGTGGGAGAAACAGTAGCAGACATTGGTCACTGAGTTAGAGCATATACCCCATTCCACAGGACATTACCTCAGCCCTGCAAAGGTTTGTCACTTGGCAGGTGCCATAAATGAGTCTATCAAAGGCCAATCCATTGTTGTATCAGGCCTGCTGTTTAGAGGATGTGGTCAGGTCAATGATTTCTGTGACCTTGAACCAAAGGATTATTTCAGGGCAGTCATCAAAGCCTTGTCTTTTCCTACCTGGCCTTGAGTTGGTCACTTTAAGCCCAAGGTCACCATTTTCTTTTTTCAAATTCATCATCACAGTCAGAAGTAGCTAACTAACCTACAGTCCTTACATGCTGTTTCCACTGTTCTGTTACAGCAGCTAGTCGGTCACCTGACTTTTTCTCCACGTACCTGACTTCAGGTGACTACAGGTAATAACTTAAGGAAATGTTTTGCCACTTTGTGCCATGGACTACCATGATTTTGCAATGGTGACATTTCTGCCCTTAATTCTAATAGTAGTGAAAGAATTTCACATTCCCATTCTTAAAGACCAGTTCCCCTGAACAACTAGTGGTTTCATTGAGGAAAACAGAGCTATTATAAGTATTATGGGAATAAAGGGTTTAACACAGGAGTTGGGGCTTATGCAAATCTGGGAGTAGTAGTGACAGTGAGGTTCTAGAAAGGGAATGTTGAAGCATTGGAGAAACCATTGGTAACCACTTCTGTCTGAAGCCAGGTGCAGCTGGCGGGGACGAGCTTGTGGGAAAGTCTGAGGAACTGCATGCATCTGGCCACCAAAGTGCATCCATGGGGTGAGAGTTCACGGGGTGGTCGGCAAAGCTTTGGTGTCCGTTGAAGCTGCCATGCCTAGTGACGCTGCCACTGTGCCTGACTGGCATTCCCTCCCAGCAGCAGTGGCTTCCCTTTTCCTTCTTCCTTCCAAATTTTGCGTGGGTTTCTCCCATCAGTAATCCCCATCCTGGAAACACACACAGCAAACAACATACTGGGAAGCATCATTCCAGCCTGAAACAGGAGATGGTGCCAAGTTGACAACAAGACAATCCAGCCCAATGTCCAACAATGGGGGATTGGTTCAATAAATTACGGTAGGGCCATGTAGTAAAATCCTACACAGCCTGCATTCATCAGGGATCAACCAGAGAAACATAACCAGTAGGTTATATATTCATTTATTGCTTGTTGCTTGCTTGCAAGGAATTGGCTCACATAGTTGTGGGGTCTGGTTAGGAGAGTTCAAAATCTGTAAGGCAGCCAGCAGGAAAGGCAGGCTGGGACTCTTGGGCATCATCTGAAGCTGCAGTCCACAGGTAGGATTTCTTCTTCTTCAGAGGACCTCAGGTTTGCTCTTAAGGCATTCCAATAGATTGAGTCAGGCTCACCCAGATTGTCCAGGATAATCTCCCTTACTTACAGACAACTGATTATGGACCTTAATCACATCTACAAAATGCTTTCATGGCAATATCTAAATTAGTGTTTGACTGAATAACTAGGGGACTGTAGCCTAGCCAGTGTGACACACAAAGCTGACCAACCCACAGCCATAGAAAAGAATCACATAGATCGATATGTGTAATGTGATAATTGATGCTCTAGAAGAACATTAAATGATATGGAAAGGTATCCAAGAAATATTAAGTTAAAAAGGCAGGTTCTAAAACAGTACGTAGAGTATTATTTTGTTTGTGTAAAAGGATGTCTAAGTATAGAGAAAGTAGACTAAAATATCACACGAGAATATTCAGAATGGTAATTACTGAGTGCTGAAAGAATGGGTAATGAAAACGTTCTCATTTTTGTGTATGCGTATTTCCTAAATCATTTACAATAAATACATGATACTTTATAGTGAGAAAAAGTTTAAATATTCTATTTTAGACACATTAGGAAACCTTGCTAATTAAAGAACAGTAGGCCCCTTCGTGGTGTGGGGCGTGGGGGAGGGATTTCCTCTCTCTTCTCCACTCCCTAAGCTTCTCCTTCTCTATCTACTTGCAGACACCAAAGTTATTTGCAAGACAGAAAGCTCTCAGGTCTTACAATGGAAATCTTTCCCTCTTATTCCTTTCCCTAACAAGTATGCGTGGATGCTGTGGGTGAGACGTTGAAAGTAAGCATTTTAATTTAGTATACACAGTGGAGAGAACCTTTAATATAATATTAATTCACTGTGCAAACTAGCAAGGTTTAATAACCATGTGAGCCATCGGGAATCCTGGTGTGACTCAAAATGACATCTGCATTAATGGTCTAATTAATAATGCATATGTTAATAAAATCTCATTAAAGCCAAAGTACAATTATTCACGTAGGATGCAATTCTTTAGCATCTGTGGGCCAATGTAGTGCTTTGGTGATGCCAGTTGCAATTTCCAATGATAGATGACCTTTTAATTCTCATTAATTGATTAAAGAGGCAGTGATTAGTGTAAAAACTCAACTCGTTTGGAAGTACAAAAATCACTGGTAAGACAATGATGATTACAAATCAGGAGGAACCAGGCAGCCCATCACAGGCATCTGCGTGTGCACAGTGAGTAATAAGAGATGGTAGGCAGGTAAAACAAGGCCAGTCATCCATGTCTCCCTCACTGCACCACAAGCCTGGGGATTGGACTCTGCTGCTATCAACAGTTTAATAAGAATTATATCAACACTGATTAATTCTTATGGAAAAATTATTTTTTAAAGGAAGCACCATAAAGTTAATTGACTAATTTGATTACTTTTCAGTTTCGTTTTCTTCTCAAGTTTTCCCATTCCCATTTTGGTCTTACTAAAATTATTTCAATCAAACTGTTTCACCATGAAGACTTGGTTTACCAGTCAGTTTGTTTTTTAAAAATTGACTTATGAGAGTGTCATTTTTTTTTTTCTTTTATGGCCATTATTTCCACCAAGCCCAAGTTTCCTGGGTCGTATCGAGCCAATCAACATAGTGTCAAGAAGATTTGAAGCTTTGGTCAATTTTTAGTCAATAAAAATTTCCACCCCGTGGACTTCTAGCCCCTGTCAACATTTTATGCTGACTACTGCCACCAGTCATTATGATCACATGTTGGGTAAATGACTAAGAGCTTATCTTTATTTCTAAGTTAACCCATGAAAAAAATGTGAGCAAATTTATGAACTAGGGCAGACATTAAGAGGGAGGAAAGATGGAAGGGAAGGGGGAAAGGAGAGTGACAAAAACAGAGAAGGAGAGATACAGAGAGAGATGGAGACAGACATCAAAGGGTTGCAGCAGTTCTAGCTTACTGACTTTTCTTCAAGGTAAAAATTTCTTGGTGTCAAAAGGCAGAGTCGAAACATCTGCTTCTCTGCTCCCCTAATCCCATGGCCTCTGAGTCCCTGCTCTGAGCTAGACCTGTGCCATGGGGAACAGAACTGAGTAACGTAGGCTATCAGCTCTCAGAGAGCCTCCAATCAAGGGAGCCACATGTGGCAGCAGCTAAGCCATGGAGGCTGCTCTCCAGGATGAGGGAGCCACTCATATGTATCTCTGTGCCCCCAGCACCTGGCAAAGGGCCTGGCCACAGAACCTGCTCATAAATGAATGAACTTGTCCCTCTACTAACATGCATTTATGCAGACTTTTCTATGTCCTGGGTACTGAGGCAGGATTCAAGAGTACAGCAGTGAAGCAAGCAGTGCATGGGGAAAGCAGCAGAGGTTGAGATGAGGCATGCATGTTGAACACATAAACCAGAGCTTAAAAAATGTAGGCAGGAACATAGTGATTAACTTTTAAGACTAAAGTCCGTGATGCTAAACTGGCTGGTTTTAGAAGGCAGACATTGCACGACACAGGTGAGCAGAGTGCCTGGTGTCGGGGTGGGGAGGGGGGTGCAATGTTCCACTTGACACTTGCAATGGTTTCTTCTTTCTCAATTCTTGGGTCTGTGTGCCCGAAGCCATTATCCTATCCTGCCTCCTGGTTTCCTCTCCTGGTAGGCAGCGGGTGCCCAGGAAGGACTCAGGAAACTTGAGTGCCAGCCCTGCCTCTGAGCACTCACCTCTCCACTGTAAGCCTCAGTTTCCTCATTTGTGAACTGGGGGTTCTAGCTTCACTCTGTCTAATGTCCCTTCTCATGGGGTCACCAGTCTTTGCCATTGGAAAGTGCCAGCTGGGCCCTGCTCAGGGTCTGAGGCTTGGTCCAGATAATTAAGAAAGCCCCTTGGCTGGGGTCACTGTGACTAACAATCTCGGACACCCAGTGAGGGGTTTCATGTACTCCACACCCGATCCAGCTTCTCTTCTCCCTTTGGCATTCAATTCTCCCCACTGCAGTCACCATCCTATGCCCGCTTGTCCTGCTAGGATGTTTTTCGCTAAGACTGAATCACGGCAAGGCTGGGGTCTTTCTGTTGAAGGTAAAGCCGGGTTCCTGGTATCTGCAGAATTGCCTGGGGCTGTGTCCAAAGTCTGACTTGTTCCTATCAAGTTGAGGCCCAACAGACAAGGAGGCCTAACATTTCTTAGGCATCTGCCATGTGCCAGGCTCTGTGCTGGACTTTTTAATGTCAAAATCTCAACTGTCAAGCAGAACTGGGTTTATCATTCACATCTTACAGATGGAGAAACTGAGGCTCAGGGAGTTTTTGTGGCCTGTTCAAGGTCCTGTAGGTACTAACTATCTTAGCACTGCTTCTCGATGCCACGGGAGGAATTTCGAGCTGGTCCTGGAGTCTGCCCAGCAGCATGATCTCCCTTGGCCTGGAAACATTTTGGGGCCTGCAGGACCTCACCAAGCAATCGCCTCTAGGGTTAGCAGGGGCAGCTGTGCTAATGGGCTCTGTGGGACAGCTCCTGGCTAAACATTTTCCCTTCTAGAGGCCCCATCAGAGAGAGAGACCACTGGAAGTCAGTGCCTGTAGCCTCTGGATTGGGTTAACCAGGGATACCATAAATCCCCTTGACTGCCGTGCAGCATCTTATTATCTTGGAAAGGAGAGGCCCTAGGAGGTGATCTGGCTATGCACCTTCTGTTCAGAGAGGGGAAGCCTCCTGTCCAGAGTCATGGCAGGGCAGGGCTGGGCCTCCTGATTGCACCTGTCTGGTTCTGTCTTCTTTTCTCCATGGCTTAAAGGCAGGGCTCCAGATTTTTACAAAAGCTTTTCTACCTTTGCTCCTCCTTTTAAATCTTCCTTTTAGAGTCACTTTCTGGTCCTCCCCTTCCCCCATAAGAACTCCACAGCAATTCACACACCCTGAGGGGTGAATGCATAGCAGATTGCTAAAGCCAGGCTGTAATTATCCATCTGTCTGCTTTAGGGAAGAATTCACTTGCACCAGGATAAATGCTGATGGGTCTGACACCCCTGATAGTGCTTCCTGAGCATCCACTCCAGCCTCTTTGGGGGTCCTGCATGGGGGAGGGTGGGTACAAAGAGATGAATCAAATGGTGCTGCTTCTAGGAGTTCCCAGTCTAGCAGGGGACAAGTGGCCAGGAACAGAGAGAGGCATGGCAAGTGTCCAAGGAGCAGAGTCGTAAAGCCCTGCAAAGATTGGGTGGGATTTGGACAGTGGGGGGCATTTCATGTGTGAAATCTGCATGAGCAGAGGTGTGGGAGTGGGAATTGTGGAGAGCGTTTTGGCTCTGTGAGAAGGTGTGGCATGGGAGATGAGGTTGGAAACATATCTGACTATATAAGCCCTAAATCCCTTCAACCTTGGCCTTGGCCGGAGATTATAAACCAGCTTCCCCAGAAGAGACTGAGACCTTCAACAAGTTTATTTGGTCCCCACAGAGTTTTTGTTTTGCTTTTATTTTTTAATATTTTGAGTTAGTTGCCAACCTTTAAAAATCAGAAGATTTAACATGAGAAATGTATTTCCAGCTCTCTAGAAGAATCCAAAGAAATGGCAACCCTGGGCCCGCATTTCTGTCTGGCAGACATGACGGGTGTGTATTTGGGAATGTGCATTTTCTGGGGAGAGGGTCTGTGCTCATCAGATCTTTAGAGGAGTCTATGAGTCTCCAAAAATTAGAACCATGGTTGAAGAAGGATATTTAATGTCATGAAAGATGTTCACAAAATAATAAAAAAAGTTTACAAAGGAATATTAACTGTATGATGACATTTTAGAAAAATATATCTATTCATAGAAAATATTGGTTATCTTTGGACAAGGTGATTAAAGGTAACTTTTATTTTTCCCTTTGCTTCTGTTTGTAAACAATATGTGCAAGAACATCATTTTAAAACTAATTTTTAAAGTAAATCTGAGCTAGGTGACAGTGTTTAAAGCCTTTCAATTTCCCAGCCACATGCAGAAAGAAATTTGAATTCTTTGGTCTCTTTCTGCTCTGGGTCAGTGAAACTTCCAGCCTTCCCTCCTACTGTATCTTTGGACACTGGGAACCCTCTGTCCCCTCTGCACACTCCTAGTGTCTGACAGTGACATGTCTCTGACTCTTCCACCCTCTCTCTTTCCTACTGAGCCCCTACTCCTTCTTCCAGGGAGTGTTACACATCACCCCCTTCATGCAGCCATACCCACTCCACACTGATAGGGCCATCCACACCTTCTGTCAGAGGCTTGTGAACCAGAGCAACTCCATCTTAAATAGGAGCTGGGTAAGATGAGGCTGAACACTACTGGGCTGCATTCCCAGACAGTTAAGGCATTCTGAGTCACAGGATGATATAGGAGGTCAGCACAAAATACAGGTCATAAAGACCTTGCTGATAAAACAGTTTGCAGTAAAGGAGCCGCCCAAAACCCACCAAAACCAAAATGGTGACAAGAGTGACCTTTGGTCATCCTCATTGTTACACTCCCATCAGCGCAATGACAGTTTACAAATGCCGTGGCAACTTCAGTAAGTCGACCTATATGGTCTAAGAAGGGGAGGCATGAATAATCCACCCCTTGTTTAGCATATCATCAAGAAATAACCATAAAAATGGGCATCCAGCAGCCCTCAGGGGTGCTCTGTCTATGGAGTAGCCATTCTTTTATTCCTTTACTTTCTTAATAAACTTGCTTTCACTTTGCACTGCGGACTCGTCCTGAATTCTTTCTTGTAGGAGATCCAAGAACCCCCTCCTGGGGTCTGGATCCGGACCCCTGTCCTGTAACACTTCTGCTGTGGCCACCCTCTGTTGCTTGGTCCCTTCCCCACAGGGTTGCTGGTAAAGTATGTGCCTGATCCTGCCACTGGACTCTGGGCTTCTAGGGGGCAGGAACCATGGCCTGTTCACGTGTTGTCTTGTTCACAATGCCTTGCATGCAGTATATGATCAGGAAATGTTTGTCCAAGTCAGTTGACTGGAAACGAAGAGAAAAAAGTGAGGCCGGGTACAGTGGCTCACGCCTGTAATCCCAGCACTTTGTGACTCTGAGGCAGGTGGATCACTTGAGCCCAGGAGTTGGAGACCAGCCTGGGCAATGTGGTGAAACCCTGTCTCTACAAAAATTACAAAAATTAGCTGGGCATGGTGGCATATGCCTGAGGTCCCAGCTACTTGGGAGGCTGAGATGAGAGGACTGGTTGAGCCCAGGAGGTTGAGGCTGCAGTGAGCTGTGATTATGCCACTGCACTCCAGCCTGGGTGACAGAACAAGACCAAAGCAAAATTAAAAAAAAAAAAAAAAAGGAAAAAATGAGAGTTTTAGTCAGAATACATGGATTCAAGTCCCTGTCATGCCTCATAGGCTTGTGCGACTGACCATGGGCAAGTCTTTAACCCATTTTTCTACTTGCTCCTCTGCAAAATGGGCACACAGGCTTGCTCTCAAGACTAAATGAAATGATGTATGTGAACGTACTTTAAAAATTATCAAGTACTATACTAATAATCGCTACTGCTGTCATTCATTTCCACTCCTTTAAGGCAGCTTTTCCTGGATAGTATAGACTGACTTACTCAGGTTGAATTGGTAAGTTAGTGGTGGAGCTAAGACTAAAAGCCAAATCCTCTATAGGTCACCAACTGTCCTGTTAACAGCAAGTGTTAAAAGAAACTGGGAAATGTGATCGGGAGCTGGCCGTTGACTTCTCTGGGCAGGTGTCATGGTTTCCCATCAATTACTGCTGGAGGATAAGGGAGGGGATGGTTTTCACGCTGACTGATCCCCCTGCCATTGCCATGTCACAGCCACCATCTGCCCCTGCCTGACTTAGAAGAAAGTGCAAAATGCTTCGTTTAGCCTCTCTTTGCTCTTCTCTTTGAGCACTAAGTGTCCCTGCCAGATGCTGAGCTGAGGGCTGGAGCAGGGGGTGGGGGGACCCTTTTGCTTTGTGCTTACAGTGAGATGGGCAGTTACGAATCTAACCAGAAAGCAGACTGTCACTGGGCACGCTCAATCACACCAGCACATTGGCTCCACAGGGGCCGAAGCCAAAGATGCTGGGCTGTGGGAAAATGTGTTCCTAAGACTTCTGCAAGGCACCAGCATTGAGTACCATCACTCCAGCCCTTGAAGTGATGCGGTGTGAGTGAAAGGGACATAAAAAGTTGGTACATTTTGGAGCATAAATTCTGCACCAGGTCAGATACTGCATGTCCTGGAGAGTAGAAAGGGCCTTGCACAGGAAGTTGGGACTTCTCAGTTCTGAAGCTCCAGCTTTGTGGGCTTGGGTGAGCCACCCAGCCCTCCAAAGTCTCTCTTTCTGTCATCTGTATTGATATGAGGCTTCTTATTGAGCAGATATTAATATTTACTGAGTGCTTACCATGTGCCAAGGATACTTCAGTGAACCAAACAGACACAATGCCAGCCCTCAAGCAATTCCTGTTGTTGTGGGATTATAACCATTCCAGCCCTGCCATCTTTCCAGCCGCAGCCAGCAGATAGGAAAGTGCTTTCTAAACAGAGGTTATGGCTGAGATCCACCGAGGCTTATAAATCAGTTGCTCTTTCACCATCCAGAAAACTGTTCCTCCAGCAGTTAGATAATTGAGGTTAGTGTCAGGAGGGAAGAGACCTAAATTAATGAAATTAATGAGACCTTCCTCATGCTTCAGTTACCTTCTACACATTGAGTTGAATCGAGATGGCAAAGGCTACAAGTTTTGAGCAAGAGTTCATTGTGAAATCAATTGATCACAGACTCCCAATGCCGTTCCTTTAACTCTCAGACACTTAATTGATGAATACCTACTGGAGATACAATGTAGACAGGGAGAGTGCCCACAGGGCTCTTATAATCCGTTTGGTGATCAGACAAGAGAAAGGGCTAGAGGGACTAGGGAGAATAGGGTGCCTCTAACCTGGGCCTGATAGGAGAGAGTCAGGGAAGGTTCCCTAAAAGATGTAAACTCAGCCTATAAGAGATGTAAACCTATAGTTTAATTAGACCAGGATGAAGGATGCAGGGAGAGGGAACCCTGGAGGAAGGGGTGCTGGAGCCACTCTTGAGTGGAAAGGCAGGAAGCACTGGATTAAGAAAGATAGGGCAGGAATTGCTGCCAGAAGGAACCATTGCACAAGGGGAGAAACATGCACAGTGGGTTCGAGAAAGGCCTCTTTTACTCTGTTTTATGCTGCTGTAACATAATACCACAGACTGGGTATTATGAACGGATATTTTGGCTCATGGTTCTGGAGGCTGGGAAGTCCAAGATCAAGGGGCCACATCTGGAGAAGGCCTTTTTGCTGCGTCATCCCATGGCAGAAGGCAAAGTGAAGGTGAGAGAGATCAAGAGGGGGGTGAACCTGTCCTTTTATAAGGAGCCCACTCCCACAATAATGGCATTAATACATTTGCTTTACCTTCATGCCCTAATCCTCTCTCTTTAGTCCTCACCTCCCAACACTTGCACTGGGGATTAAGTTTCCAACATATGCTTTTGGGAGACACATTTAAACCATAACCAGCCCTTAGTGGTCCGATCTCTAAATTTTACAAGTGGAGAAACTGAAACCCAGAGAGGTCTTAAGCTTTCTCAAGGGTAAAATTGAGGATCCATGACTAAATGTTACCCAAGACTCCCTTGAACTCTAATAATTAATCATAATTAACTTTTTGGTCCAGGGAGGTTGTTAATATTCCCATTTGACTGTTGAGGAAATTGAGAGAGAAAAATGATCTGGCCAAGGCCAACATAGCTAGTTAGTGGCAGAGTCAAGATTGGAATTTGCACTCCAAATACTAAAATCCTGTGTGAGTTCTACTATGTCACATTGCCTCCAACACCAATTCTAAAGACCTCTGAAGCTGTCTACACCAATGATGCTCAGACTACGTGGCACCTGAGAACACGTGGGAGGTTTTAAAACCCCGGAGCACACGCCAAACCCAGAGCAATGATTTCAGAATCTCTGGGTCACGGCCCAGGCATCAGTATTTTATGAAACTCTCCAGGTGATCCCAATGTTCCTGTGCCTACATCACTTGGCAATCCTGCTAAAATGTAGATTCTGGGGTGTGGCCTGGGCACTGGAATTTTTTAAAGCTCCCCTGGTGGTGTTGATGCCACTGTTCCAAGAAGCACACTTTAATTAGCAGGGAGTCTACACACTGCTGTATGTCACTTTGGCTGCCTTCTTTCCAGGTCTTCTCTTTCTCTCACTTTCACACATGTGCACCTACCTTCCTCCTGGCCTAGGCTTTTAAATGTCATGCTTCTAACCAAGAAGAGTTTTCCATCAGGAATGCAGAGCCCCACAGAAGGTCGCTACTCATGAAAACACTGAGTGCACTGCTGACCTGACAGCCTGACAGACACATGGGGACCTCAGGGGCAGAGCTGGGACTGGAATGAAGCAAGTCAGGTGCTAGCGCACAGTGTTTATTTTATTTTTATTTATTTATTTATTTATTTATTTATTTATTTTTTCGAGACGGAGTCTGGCTCTGTCACCCAGGTGGGAGTGCAGTGGCGCAATCTCGGCTCACTGCCAGCTCCGCCTCCCGGGTTCACGCCATTCTACTGCCTCAGCCTCCCAAGTAGCTGGGACTACAGGCACCCGCCGCCACACCTGGCTCATTTTTTTTTGTATTTTTAGTAGAGACAGGGTTTCACTGTGTTAGCCAGGATGGTCTCCATCTCCTGACCTCGTGATCCGCCTGCCTTGGCCTCCCAAAGTCCTGGGATTACAGGTGTGAACTACCACGCCCAGCCCACAATATTTAAAGAGACAGTCCTTCTCAGGTTCTTGCAGCTGCTGACCTTGTGCCTGTACAAACCTGAGAGTGAGTGTCTCTTAAGTTTTGTTTTCCAGGCACCTTGCCTCACTCTAGTCTGAATGGACCCCGGCTCCACCTCTTCCTCCTCCGCCCAGCCTCCCCCTGAAGCCTGCCCATCCTAGAACCTTCAAGTTTATTTTTACTCTGTCCTCCATTTCCTTCCAGAAAGCAGTTGCTATTCCTACCTCCTCGGCACCTCATTCTTGGGCTCCATCCCACCTTTCTAGGCACAAGGCAGCTTCCTAAATAATGATTTTCAAAGTGCAGTTCCTGGACCAGCAGCATAGGCATCACTGGGAACTTGTTAAAAGGCAAATCCCCAGGCCTCATGCCAGACCTACTGAATCAAAACCTGGAGGTGGGGCCCCTCGGTCAGTGATTAACCAAGCCCTCCAGGTGATGCTGATGCCTGCTCAAGTTTGGGGTCCACTGTCCAGGGGGATGGAGCAGGCAGCAGCCCTGCATTGCAGGCCTGGCTCTGCCCTGACTCCTGGTGACAGAGGTCTCTGGGCCTGTCTCCCCTCCTTGAGTAAAAGGAGGAGGCGGCTGCAGGATACTCGTGAAAAGGCTCCTTCAGCCCTGACTTTCAGGCCTCCTGCCCCTGGGGATGTGCTCACCAACCTTGCTCCACTGCAGGCCAAACTGCCCCTGGCAAATGGCTCTCCCTGGGGCGACTCCTGGGCAAGGCTATGTGTAGCAGCCTCCTCTGTCTCCACGGACATCATTAGCTGAAGAGCCTTGCTGGCTGAGGAGATCGGACCTTGGAAACAGAGTCTAAACAAAAAGAGGCCTTTCTGCAGCCACTGCTGGAGAGGCACTGTGAGCTGTGGGAAAATGTGGCTCCCCTGCCTAACTCTGCCAGGGGTCAGGGCAACTGGGAAGGGGTTTGGGAAATGCACATTCCTGTGGCTGCTGGCAAAGGTAGCTCCAAGCAGGCATCACCCAGACCAGCCAGACTCACCTCCTCTCAAGTCCTGCATCCACTGGAGGGAAGGTATCCAGTGGCCTCATGCAGTTCTGCATCCCTCATTCAGCCTCACGTTCTCAGCAAGAGAGCCCTCCGCTTCCAAGATGGTGCCTTGAATGCTGCATCCTCTGGAGGGGGGAGCACTATGTCCTCACATGGAGGAGGAACAGAAGAGAGAGGGCTCACTCCCACAATCCTCTTTATAGCAGATTAATCCATTCATGAGGGCAGAGCCCTCACGGCCTAAGCACCTCCCATTAGGCCCCACCTCCCAATACTGTTGTGTTGGGGATTAAATTTCCAACACACGAATTTTGGGGGACACCCTTAAACCATAGCACCTACTATGTTCTAGGTCATTCTGTTTTACCTGTGTTCACTCATTTAATTCTCACAATGTATTATAATAATACTAATGTTGCTATTATTAACAGTGTAAGTACTCTCGGAATACTAATTTTACTTAGAAAGAAACCAAGGAACAAAGAGGTTAGGTGACTTGCCCTAGTAGCTGCAGAGCTACTAGGTGGATTGGAACCCAGGTGGGCTGGCTCCTAACTGGCTTTTAGCCACGAGGCTCTACCCTCTTCCTCTCCACATGTGAGAGTTCACCATAAATTAACACGTTAAACAGAAGGACAGGCACAGAGAGAGTCAGAAACCCAGGCTCCCTCATGGGGATGTGGCAGGCCAGTTTTCTGCTTTACCCCTCAATTTTCTCATCTGTAAAAGGGGTTAATAATTCCTGTACGGCCACACCCCCTCCCAAGGCTGTGGTGAGGATTAAGAGGGTGATGGAGATAATGACTGGGCATGAATTCAAGAGGGAGGGGCCACATGAAATGGTAGTAGGGGCTTCCATTTACCTGGGCTCACCTGGCCTGCCCAAGCTCATAGGTCAATTGTAACACCCCACTATCTGCCATTTGTATGGCTCTTTACAGACAGAAACCTGAGGCTCAGAGGGAAGTACCTTGCTCTAGGTCATAAAGCTCAGGTTGTGTAAGGTGAGAAGGAACTCAGCAGAGCCAGCAGCAGCTCCTCTCTCTCTAGTTTGCATTATATTTGAAATTTATCACAACAGAAGCAACAGGAGACACGTGAAGACGGCCAGAGTCAGGTCTGGAACCAGGGTGTCTGTGTCCATTGTCCTCATTCTTAACCGGGGTGCTATGTATGATACACAGTTGGGTGAAGGCTGAGCTTCACTGAGGCTGGAGAGCGCTCATGTTCCCACTCAGGCCCCATCGCCCATCTGCAGATGGTGGCCCCTCCACAGGTGGGCAATGAGGCCTGAGTGTAGACATCCAAGGGAGATAAGAGGTGCTAAAGTCTGGTGGGCCAGGGAGTTGGCTCTGAATCTGCATCTTTGGACCAGGTCATAGGAATCCAACTGTCTGCTCCTTGCTTCACAGCTCCTTCCCTAGCCACTCTGAATGGGCCCAGAAAGAACTCAGGCTGGTGACGATGGGTAATCAGACCTGCTTGTAGAACATTAGAGCTCACTTAGAGCTTCGAATCAGCCTAGATAGAGGCCAATGTCCATCAACTGATGTGGGGAGGTTGGAGGTTTCTGAGGGAGAGATAGGAGCATTTGCAAGGAAGCAGGACTCCTGAAAAGAAAGGGATAAAGATTCCCAGCCCTATAAGAGTTACAAGTACTGAAGCATACCTAGTGGCCTGGAGTGGTCCTGAGCAAGGCACAATAACAAGGATGAACCAGGAAGAGGACTCCACACAGAATTCACGAAGGGAGGGAGATGGCACCAGCTGGCTTACATCTACACTGAGGCAAAGGATGGGAGAGGACATGAAGGTAGGTGGTGCTTTATCCTTCTTATAAATCTAAACATTAATAAAATCCAGCGCCTCGAACGCTGCATCCTCTGGAGGGGAGGTATTTACCCAAGACAAATAAAAACATATGACCACAAAAAGAATTGTTAAAAAACCAAAAGTCCATAGCAGCTTTGTTCACAATGGATAAAAGCTAGAAATATCCCAGGTGTCCATCAACAGAAGAGTGGACAAACTGTGGTATATCCACACAACAGGATACGACTCTGTGCAAAGAAGACAAAAATTAGTGATATGCACATCCACATGTATGAATCTTAAAAACACTGGGCTGACTGAAAGAGGCCTTTTATGGTATGTCTCAATTCACATGATGTCCTAGAACAGATACAATTAAGCTCTGGTAGGAAAAAAAAAAAGAAAAAAACAGAAAAGTGTTTGCAGGTGGAGGCGGGAGCAGTGGGAATTGGATGGGAAAAAGCATGAGTGGACTTCCTGGCGTGAAGAATATTTTCTATCTCTTGATGAAGGGTTTGAATTACATCAGTGGATGAACTTGGCAAAACTCTTTGAATAGTAAGACTTAAGATTTGTGCATTTGATTATATAAAAATTTACTTTAAAAAATCTGTAAATACATATGGAACTCTAGTTAATGATATACATGTTGAAGTGTTTCTGGGCAAAACATATTTTTTAGTATCTTATTTTAAAATGCATTTAAAAATAAGATGGATAGACAGATGGATCAATTGATAGATGATAAAGCAAATATGACCAAATGTTAATTTTGGTGGGTATATGGGTGTTTGCTTTATAACTTTAAAAATTTTCCTGTATGTTTGAATATTTTTGTAACAGAATGTTGTGAGGAAGATAACTGGTGCTAATTGTCTTTCTTTCTCTTTCTTTCTTTCTTTCTTTCTTTCTTTCTTTCTTTCTTTCTTTCCTTCCTTCCTTCCTTCCTTCTTTCTTTCTTTCTTTCTTTCTTTCTTTCTTTCTTTCTTTCTTTCTTTCTTTCTTTCTTTCTTTCTTTCTTTTTCTTTCTTTCTTTTAGATGAAGTTTCACTCCTGTTGCTCAGGCTGGAGTGTAGTGGTGTGATCTCTGCTCATTGCAACCTCTGCCTCCCAGGTTCAAGTAATTCTCCTGCCTCAGCCTTCAGAGTAGCTGGGATTACAGGTACCTGCCACCATGCCTGGCTGATGTTTTGCATTTTTATTTTTATTTATTTATTATTTATTTATTTATTTATTTATTTATTTATTTATTTATTTAGAGATGGAGTCTTGCTCTGTTGCCCAGGCTGGAGTGCAGTGGCACAATCTTGGCTCACTGCAAGCTCCACCTTCCAGGTTCTTGCCATTCTCCTGCCTCAGCCTCCCGAGTAGCTGGGACTACAGGCGCCCACCATGATGCCCGGCTAATCTTTTGTATTTTTAGTAGAGACAGGGTTTCACTGTGTTAGCCAAGATGATCTCGATCTCCTGACCTCGTGATCCGCCCACCTCGGCCTCCCAAAGTGCTGGGATTACAGGCGTGAGCCACCACGCCAGGCCGATTTTTTGTATTTTTAGTAGAGCTGGGGTTTCACCATGTCATCCAGGCTGGCCTCAAACTCCTGACCTCAGGTGATCCACCTGCCTCAGCCTCCCAAAATGCTGGGATTACAGGCATGAGCCACCACGCCTGGCCTAATGGTATTTCTTAACTGGACCCTGTATTAGTCCATTTTCACGTTGCTGATAAAGACATACCCAAGACTGGGCAATTTACAAAAGAAAGGGGTTTAATTGGACTTACAGTTCCATGTGGCTGGGGAAGCCTCACAATCAAGGTGGAAGGCAAGGAGGAGCAAGTCATGTCTTACGTGGATGGCAGCAAGCAAAAAGAGAGCTTGTGCAGGAAAACTCCCCCTTATAATAACCATCAGATCTCATGAGATTTACTCACCATCCTGAGAACAGAACGGGAAAATCTGCCCCCATAATTCAATTACCTCCCACTGGGTCCCTCCCACAACACATGGGAGTTCAAGATGAGATTTAGGTGAGGACACAGCCAAACCTTATCAGACCCTGACTGACATAGTCTATGTGTGTACTCTAATTTACTCACATATTCTTCTATTGATTGACATTTTAGATTGACATTATTTATGGTTGCTAGCAAGGCTGCAAGCCTTATTTGTCTGCTGGGCACATATAAGAGCATATTTCTCAGACAAAGACCTAGAAGTGGCTTTGCTGGATGAAAAGGTCTTGTTTACTTAATAAAGGGCCAGGGAAAACCAGGCCCAGACAGGGAAAGGATTTACTCAGGCTTACACAGAAAGTCCATGGTGGAGCTGGAATTGGGCACCTGCTCCCATGCTCTCTGGTTACAAAATGTAGAATTTTCCCTTGCTTCCTTGTCTTTCAGTCAATGCCCATCTTTACCTTGGTATACAGAAATGGCAGAGACTGAATTAGGTCAGGGTGATGAGATCTTTAGAGAAAAGTGATCAGCAGAAGGGAGGGCTCAGAGAAGGTGGCCACTGTCACCCTCACCCTCATCAGGGCTTCCATTCCTAACTCAGAATTGCAGCAAAAGAAACAGGTGGCAGGATGGGCACAGTGGCTCATGCCTGTAATCCCAGCACTTTGGGAGGCCAAGGCAGGTGTATCACTTGAGGTCAGGAGTTTGAGACCAGCCTGGCCAACATGGTGAAGCCCTGTCCCTACTAAAAATACAAATATTATCTGGGTGTGATGGCACACCTGTAATTCCTAGCTACTCGAGAGGCTGAGGCACAAAAATCACTTGAACCCAGGAGGCAGAAATTGCAGTGAGCCAAGATTGCATCACTGCATTCCAGCCTGGGTGACAGAGTGAGACTCTGTCAAAACAAAAACAAACAAACAAACAAACAAACAAAAAAAAAAAAGGAAAAAGAAAGAGCAAGCAAGCAGAGGGAGGAGGCTTCACCTTTCCTAATGCACATAGTCTGGCTAACAATAAGAGAGTAGGCTGGGCTTCTGGTTCCAAAATGGCAGCGTAGAAGCAAGCTGGCTTCACTTCCCCCTACGTAGGAAACCAAAAATAAATATACAGTGCCAAGATTATCACCAGTAATATCCCAGAACTCAAGAATGAAGATGAAACAGTTCCTGGGGCCACAGAGAATTGAAAAATCTCTAAGCAGACAGTAAGAAAAATTGAGCTTCACAATTGTGAACCCCTTCTCCCATTCTTCCCAGCACCAAGAGCATGAAAAAATTTCCCCCAACACACAATGTCTACAGTAGAAAAAGTGAGATCGAGGTGGACAACCAGCTTCCCCACCACCTTGGTTTCCCTGGCAGTAGACCTCTGCCTAAACCATGGGAAGCATCACTAAGTGACCAAAGAGAGAACTATCCCTGAGGACAGGCAGACAGAAAGTGGGGAGGTGAGACAAGCATCCTCATCTCTGGAAATTCTGCTTTGTAACTTTGCCAAAGGAGACATTAAATCAGAGTGGTGGTTCATTTGCACTATGCTGTAGGAGGTCCATTCCACAGGTCCCCTGGGCACAAACCCCTAGCCAGGCTTCCCACACTGCTGAGAAACCCCATTTAGGAAGGGCAGTGCTCCAATCATTTACTACAGCCAAAGCAAATGTGGGCTTAAGATGCCATCTAGAGCCAAAAAGAAGACAGTGATTTAGCAATAAAGAACCTCTAAGCAAATATATCCAATAAAAGCAAAACAAGCTATATGGAGATTAAAATGAATAACGAATCCCTCAATGCAAAGACATAGACACACATCCACAAGAACCAACAGCAGACAGAGAACCATGAACTCTCCAAATGGACAAAGCAAGGAATCAGTAATGGACCCCAGCAAGACAATGATGTGTGAGCTCTCTGAGCAACAATTCAAAATAGCAGTTTTAAGGACACTCAGGGATCTTCAAGGTAATGCGGGAAAGCAATTTAGAAGTTTATTAGAGAGATTCAACAAAGAGATTGAAATAACAAAATAATCAAACAGAAATCTTAAAACTGAGAAATACATTTGCTGAATTGAAAAATTCATTAGAGGCTCCCAACAGCAAAATAGATCAAGCAGAGGAAAGAATCAGTGAGCTTGAAACCAGGCTATTTGAAAATACACAGTCAGAGGAGAAAAAAATAATGAAAAGCAAACAAGATATAGAAAATTACCTCAAAAGACCAAATCTAAGCGTTATTGATGTTCAAGATGGAGCTGAGAAAGAGCAAGAGGTGGAAAGCTTATTTAAAGAAATAATAACAGAAAACTTTCCAAAACTTGAGAAAGATATAAACATCCAGGTACAGGAAGGCCGGAGAACACCAGACAGATTTGATTCAAACAAGGTTACTCCAAGGCATATCATAATCAAACTCTCAAATGTCAAGGACAAAGAGAAGATCCTAAAAATAGCAAGAGAAAAGAAGCAAGTAAAACATAAAGTCTTTCTGGCAAGAGACTTCTCAATGGAAACCATATAGGTCAGGAGGGAGTGACATGACATTTTTAAAGTGCTGAAAGGAAAAAACTACCATCAAAAAATACTGTATCAAGCAAAGTTATTCTTCAAAAATGAAGGAGAGATAGACTTTTCCAGACAAACAAAAGCTGAGAGAATTCACCACCACCAGGTTCATCTTACAAGAAATGCTAAAGGTTTTCGGATAATATCTACTGTAAGGAAAAAAAAGAAAGAAAGAAATGCTAAAGGGAGTTATTCAATCTGAAAGAAAAAAACACTAATATGCAAAAACAAAACAAAATTTAAAATATTTGAAGGTATAAAACACACTGGTAAAATTAAGTACATGCACAAATGCAGAATACTCTAATATTGTAATTGTGGTATGAAATGCACTTATAACTCTAGTATGAAACCCAAAATATAAATCTGTCAAAAACAATAATAGCTACAACAACCTGTTAAGAGACAGGTAATATAAAAATATGTAAATTGAAACAACTAACAGTCAAAATGTGGAGGCGATGGAGTTACAATGTAAACTTTTATTTTCATTTTTTCTTTGTTTCTATTCTATGTGATCTAAAATAAGATATCTTCTCTTTAAAATAATGTTACATCTATAAGTTTTTTTTTTGTAAACCGCATGGTAATCACAATGCAAACCCTATAGTGAGTTCACTAAAAATAAAAAATGACAAATTAGGCTGAGCGTGGTGGCTCACACTTGTGATCCCAGCACTTTGGGAGGCCGAGGTGGGTGGATCACCTGAGCTCAGGAGTTCAAGACCAGCCTGGCCAACATGGCAAAACCCTGTCTGTACTAAAAATACAAAAATTAGCCAGATGTGGTGGCAGGTGCCTGTAATCCCAGGTACTTGGGAGGCTGAGGCAGGAGAATCACTTGGACCTGGGAGGCAGGGGTTGCAATGAGTTGAGATTGCACCACTGTACTCCAGCCTAGGAGACAGAGCAAGACTCTGTCTCCAAAAAAACCAACAAAAACAAATTAAAACATACTGCCAGAGAAGATCACTGAACCACAAAGTAAGGCAGTAAGAAATGAAGAAAGGAAGAGAAGAGTTACAAAACAATCAGAAAACAAGCAACAGAATGACAGTAGTGAGTCCTTAGTTGTCAATAATAGTACTAAATATAAAGGAACTCAATTCTCCAATTAAAAGGAAGAGAGTGGCTGAATGGATAGAAATGAGATCCAACTATATGCTGCCTACAAGAAACCCACCTGTAAAGATAGACTGAAAATGAAGGGGTAAAAAAAGAGTCCGTACAACTGGAACCAAAAAAAAAAAAAAAAAAGCAGAAGTAGCTATAGCTATAGTTAGATAAATAGACTACAAGTCAGTCAAAGATTGTAAAAAGAGACAAAGAAAGTCACTATATAATGATAAAGGGGTCAGTTTCTCAAGCAGATGTAACAATTTTAAATATGTAGGCACTCAACACCAGAGATCCCAAATATGAAAAGCAATCTAAAGCAAGAGATAGATTGCAATACAATAATAGTAGGGGACTTTAACACCCCACTCTCAGTGATGGAAAGATCATTCAGATTCTCTACAATAAATTTTTTAAATTAGCTGGGTACGGTGGTGCATGCCTGTAGTTCTAGGTACTTAGGAGGTTGAGATGGGAGGATCACTTGAGCCCAGGAGTTCAAGGCTTCAGTGAGGTAAGATTACACTACTGCACTCCAGCCTGGGTGACAGAGTGAGACTGTCTCTTAAAAAACAAAAATAAACAAAGCCGAAGAATTAATGCCAATTCTACTCAAACTCTTCAAAAAAATAGAGGAGGAATACTTCCAAACTCATTCTATCTATGAGGCCAGCATTACCCTGATATCAAAACCAGACAAGGATACAGCAAGAAAAGAAAACTGTAGGCCAATATTTCTGATGAACCAAGATGCAAAAATTCCCAATAAAATACTAGCAAACCAAATTCTACAACACACTAAAGAGATCATTAACCATGATCAAGTGGGATTTATCCCCGGTATGCAAGGATGGTTCAACATACACAAATCAATAAACATAATACATGACATTCACAGAACCAAGAACTAAGAATGAAAAACATATGACTATTTCAATAGATGCCAGAAAGGCATTTGATAAAATTCAACATCCATTTATGATAAAGACCTTCATCAAACTGGGAATGGAAGGAATATACCTCAAAATAATAAAGGTCATATATAACAAATCCATAGCCAACATTGTTCTGAACAGGGAAAAATTGAAGGCCTTTCCTCTGAGATCTGGAACAAGACAAAGATGCCTATTTTTTACCACTTTTATTCAACGTAATACTGGAAGTCCTGGCCAGAGCAAGTAGGCAAGAGAAAGAAATAAAGGGCATCCCAATTGGAAAGGAAGAAGTCAGATTAGCCTTGCTCTCAGACAACAGGATCTTATATTTAGAAAAACCTAAGGACTCCACCAAAAAAACTGTTAGAACTGATAAATGAATTCAGTAATGTTGCAGGATACAAAATCAGCATACAAAATTCAGTAGCATTTATATATGCCAACAGTGAATAATCTGAGAAAAATTGAGAAATCTGTTTACAATAGCTATAAAGAATATAAAATACGCAGAAATCAATTTAGCCAAAGAACTGAAACATCTATACAAGGAAAACTATAAAACACTGATGAAAGAAATTGAAGAGGACACCAAAAAATGGCAAAATATTCCATGCTCATGGATTGGAAGAATCTGTATTGAAATGACAATACTACCCAAAGCAATTTACAGATTCAATGCAATGCTTATCAAAATACTAATGACATTCTTCAAGAAATAGGAAAAAAAATCCTAAAATCTATATGGAAATTCAAAAGACCCTGAATAGCCTAAACAATTCTGAGCAAAAAGAACAAAGCTGGAGGCCTCACACTACCTGACTTCAAAACTTACTGCAGGCTGGGCAGGGTGGCTCACGCCTTTAATCCCTGCACTTTGGGAAGCCAAGGTGGGCAGATCACCTGAGGTCAGGAGTTCAAGACCAGTCTGGCCAACATGGCAAAACCCTGTCTCTACTAAAAATACGAAAATTAGCCGGGCATGGTGGTGCGTGCCTGTAATCCCAGTTACTCAGGAGACTGAGGCAGAAGAATTGCTTGAACCCTGGAGGCGGAGGTTGCAGTGAGCCGAGATCATACCACTGTACTCCAGCCTGGGCAACAGAGCCAAACTCTGTCTCAAAAACAAACAAAAAACTTACTGCAAAGCTATAGTGACCAAATTAGCATGGTACTGGCTATACAGATAGGTACAGATACATACATGGAACAGATCAGAGCACCCAGATATAAATCCATGCATTGTCAGTCAAGAACATGCAATAAATATCTTTTCAATATATGAGGCTGGGAAAACTGGATAACTATATGCATAAGAATGAAACTTGTCTGGGTGCAGTGGCTCACACCTGTAATCCCAGCACTTTGGGAGACCAATGCAGGCAGATATCTTGAGCCCGGGAGTTTGAGACCAGCCTGGGCAACATGGCAAAACTTCAACTCTACAAAAAAAAAAAAAAAAAAAAAAAAATTGGCCAGGTGTGGTGGCACACGCCTGTAGTCCCAGCTATTTAGGAGGCTGAAGTGGGAGGATCAATTGAGCCCAGCAGTTTGAGGCTGCAATGAGCCATGATCATGCCACTGCACTCCAGCCTGGGTGAGAGAACAAGACCCCATCTCAAGAAAAAACCAAAACCAAAAACAAAACAAAACAAAACAAAAACAAAAAACTAGACTCCTATCTCTCACATACACAAAAATCAAAAATTGGATTAAATACTTAAAAATAACACATAAAACTATAAAACTACTAGAGGAAAATATTGGAGAAATGCTGCATGACATTAAATTTTTCCTGTAAGACCTCAACAGCACAGCTAACCAAAGCAAAACTAGACAAATGAGATTTCCTCAAGCTAAAAAGCTTCTGCACAGCAAAGGAAACAATCAACAAAGTGAAGAGACAACCCACAGAATGAGAGAAAATATTTGCAAACTACTCATCTGACAAAGGATTAATAACCAGATTGTGTAAGGAGCTCACACAACTCATTAGCACAAACCCAAATAATATGATTTAAAAATGGATAAAAGATCTGAATAGATATTTCTCAAAAGAGACATACAAATGGCCAACAGATATATGAAAAAATGCTTAACATCACTAGTCATCAGAGAAATGCAAATCAAAACCACAATGAGATATCATCTCACCTCAGATAAAATGGCTTTTTTTTCATTCCCACTGTTGGGAATGCAAAATATATACTTATATACTTAGAAAAACCTAAGGACCTTAGAAAAAATCTAAGCTATATATCCAAAAGAAAGGAAATCAATATATTGAAAAGATACCTGCACTTCCATGTTTATTGCAGCACCATTCACAATAGCCAAAATATGAAATCAACCCAAGGGCCCATCAATGGATAAATGGATTAAAAAACATGGTTTATATACAGAATGAAATATTATTCAGCCATAAAAAAGAATGCAATCCTGTCATTTGCAGTAACATGAATGGAACGGGAGGTCATTATGTTAAGTGAAATAAGCCAAGTACAGAAAGACAAATATCGCCTATTCCCACCCATATGTGGGAGCTAAAAAAGTGAATCTCATTAAGATAGAGAATAAATTGGTGGTTGCCAGAGGTTGAGAAGAGTAGTGGGGAGGAGGAGATGAAGAGAGGTTGATTAATGTGTACAAATGTAGTTTGATAGGAGAAATAAGGCTTAGTGTTAGACCGTTAAGGTGTCTATAGTTTACAATAATCTGTTGTACACTTCAAAATAGCTAGAAGAGAATAATTTGAATGTTTCTGACATAAAGGAAAGACAAATATTTAAGTGATGGATATCCCAAGTACACTGATTTGATCTTTACAAATTATATAAATGTGTTAAATTATCGCACATACCCCCAGACTATGTACATCTATTATGCATCAATAAAATTTTTAAAAAGGTTCAAAGAACAACAACAAAGCAGGCTGGGCTGGTGAGGAAGACAGTGACATTGCAGGCAAAAAGCTGCAACTCAGACCTGGGAGGACCATCTACAGACTTCTGGGGCTGTCATGGCCAGCAGATACACAAAGACAGCCAGAGTCACGCAGGCTGGGCTTCCTTCTCCACTCAGCAGTGTCTTTGCAATTCTTCTTCTAATGGAAGAAAAGAAAGGTGAGAGGAGAGAAGACCAGAGGCAGGGAGATTCCTGCGAGGCAGATGAGAAACCTGGGGCAGGGGTAATGCTAGCCCAAGGGGCAGGGGAGACAGGAGGGCAGAGCCCAAAGGCCTGAAGGATGGGTAAGTGCCAGGGAGCTATTTAGATGTGGAGAGGAGGACAGGGAGAAGCAAGGGTGCCCCGGGACTCATCTGAACCCCTGTGCGTGTGGTACTGCTGTTCACCATTCAGGAGCCAACGTTTAGCTCCTAGGGTAGGGAACAATTCTGAATTCATTTTTAGATATAGCAAGTGTCAGCTGGAGTTCTTGATGACTTCAGAATTATTACTTTTTGGGTGCAGAAAAAAGTAACAAACTATAAAAACCTATTTTTCCCTAAGCCTTTAAGATTAATTTTGAATTTTATTATCCTAACTGTAAATCCAAATTCCCTGAAACAGCCTCATTTACAACTCATTTTATTAAATCCCCTTAAGCCTTTTGAAGTGCATTTATATATACATGTGATGCATCTGTTTTTGTTTGGGGCACTTTGGTGCCTAACAAGCAAAACCTTTCTAAGCACTTAAAATTATTCTTGTAAATTTAATAAATTAAAGTCATAAATATGGTGAATCTCAGATTTTCATAAACATTCCAACACTATTTACTAAACTCATCAGATTCTCTTACAACTTTTAATGCAAAATCACAAGTCAAAAATCAGTTACTTAATTACATATTTACAGTGTAATCTCAGATATGCCAAATTCTCTTACACATCACAAAACCTACAAATATCAAGTATATACAGATCATTCCTAAGTTTAACATAAATGTATTACTATTAATTGACTTCATTATTTATGTATTTAATTTATACCTTCCAGGGGTTAAAAAGACACCTTTTCACTGTGGGAACTGCTTTCTTATCCCAAGAAAACTGAGGTTGCCAACCCAGCTACAGCACCCTCATTTCAGGTGAGCTGAGGTTCTGGGTCAGTCATTACGGTCATGCTATTGGTACCATCTCACAGGCTGCAGGTACTGGTGGCCAGAGGTAGTGGTTGGCACTGAAGACTAAAACGTAATCATCCTGGGTGATTCCTCTCAAGCGCTTTTTAATGTGACTTCAGGGGGTTCCAAGCCCAGAGCAGGTCGACTTTCAATTCAGGCCCCTTAGATTTGAGTTATACCATGACCTAAATTACGTAATTTGAGTTTGCAACACCCCTCCCCTCAACAATTGTGTTGTACCTAGTTTCATCCAACTTATCACTTTGTGCAATACCAAATTGAATTCCCTATTTTTTTCTTTTTGACAGGGATATCACTTATAACAAAATTTAAAATAACACCTGATTGGATTCTATCTGACTCCATGCCTTTCTTTGCCTGGCTTGATGGTCAGTAAACTAACTCTCTCTCTCTCTCTCACTCTCATATATATATATATCCCTATATAAATATGTAAAATCTATCTATATAGATATATAGAGATAGATTTTATCTCTATATATCTATATCTCTATATATCTATATAGAGATTTTTTTTTAGGTGACACGGTCTCCCTCTATCCCCCAGGCTAGAGTGCAGTGGCGTGATCTCTCCTCACTGTAACCTCCGCCTCCCGGGTTCAAGTGATTCTCGTGCCTCAGCCTCCTGGGTAGCTAGGATTGCAGGCGTCCACCACCACACCCAGCTAATTTTTGTATCTTTAGTAGAGATGGGGTTTCACTATGTTAGCCAGGCTGGTGTTGAACTCCTGACATCAGGTGATCCGCCCACCTCAGCCTCCCAGAATGCTGGGATTACAGGCATGAGCCACCGAGCCCAGCCATCAGTAAGCTATTAATTTTAATGACGTTGCATGAAAGGTGGGACAAACCAATGGAGATATTGTGGTGGGCGTGTTGGTCCCTTTAAGAGAGCCTGTGACAGGGTGGAGTTGACTGACAGTTGAATCTATCATAGCATTCACCCCAAGGCCATGCTTCCCAGGACTGCTCCCAGCTAAAGACTCAGCACAGAGGGATACAGGTGCTGGCTCCTTCCTGCCTACTACACAATTCCTCTAACAGGCTACCTGTCTTTGGTAACTTTCCCTGGCCAAGACCTTTCTCGAGTTGCATGGTATCTGATACTCTTCCTTCCTGACAATCTTTCCTTCCCATTCTCCTTCCACAGGTGTCAGACCTGCATCATTGTCTGAAGGCTCTCCCCACCTACTCCTACTCCAGCACCCTTTCTCCTTCACAGGTGTTTCTCCTAATACATCTCTTGCACATTGGACCCTATCCTGGTGCCTGCATCTTGGAGGCCCCACCCTAGCAGAAGTAGAGTGTCAGAGAGCAGGCAGTAGAATGATGGGCTTTGGGGCCCCACTTCCTCACTGACTGGCTGTGTTAAGGAGGCTTCCATCCCAAGTGGGACACGTGGAATGTGGGACATTGATAGTCCTTGGCACAAGGTGGTGGCCCAACTGCTGAAAATTTCACAAGTGGTGACTTGGGAAAATGTCCCAGTGGAGAATAACACCCTGGATGGTACAATAGTACACATACTTGAAGGAATAGAGGGAACAAGGCCAACAAGAACTGTGGATTTGGCTGGGTTTGACAAAGGTGTGACACCCTGCAGAGGGATAGTGAGAAATTCAGGGCATTTAACAAACCGTTAAAGGCTGAATGTGAGAGCCTGAGCTGCCCCTTTGGTAGAGCACAAAGAAATCATTACCTTTGCCATAAAACCAGACTCGGGACTTGATAGAGTTGCTGAGGGCCATAGATGTTTAGATGTCCAGGGAAGACAGGTCTATTAAGCTAAGGTAGGTCCTGGTTAGGGAAACATAAAATCTTGAAACATGAGTGGGGACCTCTGGGAGATGTCTGCAAGAATCTGCAGGGTCTGTAGACCCCTCCTGAACTGCCAGCATTTCCAGAGGTGGCCCACCTTTCTGTAGTAGGAGCTTGCATTTCCTCCTTGTAGGAAGACACTGCAGAAACCTTGCACCCCCCACACCAACCCCTCTCTCCTCAAGGAAGCAGGAGCCCTGTCCTCAGGAGCTGCTCCCCCTTTGTCAGGCTGCTAACCAGGATTAAATCCTAGAACTTGGCTTGGGACGTGCTGAGTCTGATAAGGGAGGAAAGAGATTACACCTCAAAGGAGGTGTGAGAATTAGCTAGCATGTAGCATGAGAAGCCAGGAGAGTAGCCCTGGGATTGGATTTTGGGGGTGCTTGACCAGGAGGCTGGAACATGTGACTAAATAAGAGATAATTTGTTGACCTGGGGGCACTTTTTTGGGACACTGAGACTTAACACCCCAGCAAGGACTCCAGGGTTAGAGGCAAATTCATTGCTAGGGTGGCTCTTAGAAGAAGACTGGCAATGCTGATGGACAACCTGAGCAAGGTGAAGATGCTGGAGTTACCTTGGCAGGTGGTAGAAGGAGGGTTCAGAGGCTCAGGGAGGTGAGCATGCTGGAGTCGATATCTTATATGAGGCCGGAAGATCCACCCGAAGATTATGTTCCATGGGATGCCCCAAGGACTTGACATTCACCAAACCATCAGGTTTTTTCTGGTGACTGGAGCATCCACACCCCTAAGTGGTGGCTGTCCTCTGCCAACCAGGGTTGACAGGAGGACAGGCAGTCACAGAGCTGGGTTTGTAGACAGCCATGAACATCATAGGCCTTGAAGTAATAGAGAGGCCAGGTGGTAGCACTTGTGGGGTGGTGATGCAGGCAATATGGTAACAACCAGCCAGACTGGAGCTTCCCACCACAGGAAGTTGTAGCAGTGTAAATAGAACATAGGGTCTATTATGGACGGGATGTGTGTTCCCCCTACCATATTCTTTTGTTGAAACCCTAACCCTCAGTGTGATGGTGTTGAGAGCTGAGACCTTTGAGAGCTCATTAGGTTCAAAGTCATGAGGATGGAGCCCCCATAATGGGATTGGTGCCTTTATAAGAAGAGGAAGAGACCAGAGCTCACTGTCTTTCTGCCATGTAAGGATACATCAAGAATGCAGCCATCTGCAAGCCAGGAAGAGGGCCTTCTCCAGGAATAGAATCAGCCAGCACCTTGATCTTGGACTTCCCAGCATCCAGAACTGTGAGAAGTAAGTGTCTGTTGTTTAAGCCACCCAATCGATGGTATTTTGTCATTGCAACCTATGATTAATTTTAGGTGTCAACTTGACTGGATTGACGGATACCCAGATGGCTGGTGAAGCATTGTTTCTGGGTGTGTCTGTGAGGGTGCTTCCAGAGGAGACTGAAGTGTGAGGCAGTGGACTGACAGAGGAAGACCCACCCTTAATATGGGTGGACACTCTCTAGTCAGCTGGGGGCCTGACTTGGACATTCAGGCAGAAGAAGAGGGATTCTCTCTCTCTCCCTTCTGGAGAGACTCTTGGACTGGGAAGTCCAAGATCAAGGTGCTGGCTGATTCTATTCCTGGAGAAGGCCCTCTTCCTGGCTTGCAGATGGCTGCATTCTTGATGTATCCTTACATGGCAGAAAGACAGTGAGCTCTGGTCTCTTCCTCTTCTTATAAAGGCACCAATCCCATTATGGGGGCTCCATCCTCATGACTTTAAACCTAATGAGCTCTCTTTCCTCTTCCAGCCCCTGGACATCAGACTCCAGATTCTTTGGCTTTTAGACTCTGGGACTTGCACCAGCATCCTCCAGGGGACTGTCTGGCCTTTGGCCTCGAACTGGGGCTGCATCATGGGCTTCCCTGGTTCTGAGGCTTCTAGACTTGTCCTGAGCCATGCTACCAGCATTTCTGGTTCTCCAGCTTGCTGATGGCCCATCAAGGGACTTTCTCACCTCTGTAATCATGTGAGCCAATTCTCCCTAATAAATCCCTTTTCATATATCCTATAGGTTCTGTCTCTCTGAAGATGAATACACAGCCCAAGCTGACTAAGAGAGTGTACTTAGCAGTAAAATACACGGGCAGCCCACAAAGGTGCTGCTTAACATCTCCTGTAGGAAGAACACATGAATAAAGGAGCAGGAGGCTAAGGATGGCCCCCTAGTAAGAGGGCATGCTTACTCACTCGGTTCATAGGCATGAGCCAGTTTTCATATCCAGAGTCCATTGACCCAGGAGGAGGCTAGTCCCTAGGGAAAAGGATTCCAAAACACCACAGCAAGTATATACTGTGATGACTCCGCCATTTCTCCTCCAAGGGATCTATGCCCACTTACTCCAGTGATTGTACACTGTGGAGCCCCACACGCAGTCACACAGTCTCTATTGCAACTACTCAATTCTGTCACGGTATGAAAGCAGTTGCAGACAAAACATAAACAAATGAGTATGGCTGTGTTCCAATAAGACTCTATTTATGGACACTGACATTTGAATTTACATCATTTTCACATGTTACAAAATATTCTTCTTTTGAGTTTTTTAAATGCTTAAAAATATAAAAATCATTCTTAGCTTTCAGGCCATACAAAAATGGGCAGTGGGCTGAGTTCACAGGCCATAGTTTGTCAACTCCCATTCTAGTGTGTTGACATTTGTCAACATTTTTAGTTTAAAAAATGAGTATTACAGTCAAAGAAGCTGTACCCTGCTGGGGAGTCACCTTGATCCATGCTGCTCAAGTTCACTCCTGCTTGGGGACAAGATCCTTTGCCTGTGTCCTCTTTCCTGTGTCTCAAGTTCCCCCCCAATCTTGTTTTTGAGCTCTCAAGAAATCTGGAATCAGTTAACTTCATAAACTCTCTACCCAAGTAAGGCTGAATCTCACTATATTATTTGAAGCATTACTGTTCTTATCCGTCCATCACAACCTCCACCACTGCCTCTCACTCCTTAAAACCAAGTCCTGGGCCTTGCTTTTAGATAACAAAGGTCTAATAGTGTGTTTTCCCAAACAAAGCAATCGTCCACTAAGGTGAATTTAGCGTTCATCTCTAAAATGCAATGACTCTGGCAAGCAGCTTTTAGAATAATAAATTTAATCCCCACTGTATATGACCAACTTGAATCTTACCACAATCCTATGTGGATAGAAAATAAGGAAATTGAGATGTTGTGAAACTGTGTAGAGACCTAGCATTAAGCCAAACACTTCAGTGGATAGAAACTGGTTTGGTTAAACTGGAACCATAAAACAATGTGGGAATTGCTGTCTTCACTCTTACTATTCTGTATATAGAAAGTGATTCCACTGACCTGAGGGTTGCAAACTCAAATGTCATCAGATGCCCGATAGAGTAACGTGAGTGACCAAAAGGTGCCAGGTGTAGGAAAATAGGAGATGTTGGGGAATGGGCCAAACTGGGATGTGCATTTCCCATCAAACACTTTTTTTTTTTTTTTTTTTTTTTTTGAGACACAGTCTCACTCTGTCGCCCAGGCTGGAGCGAAGCAGTGCAATCTCGGCTCACTGCAACCTCCGCCTCCCGAGTTCAAGCGATTCTCCTGCCTCAGCCTCCCAAGCAGTTGGGATAACAAGTGCCCACCACCATGCCCAACTAATTTTTGTATTTTTAATAGAGACAGGGTTTCCCCATGTTGGCTAGCCTAGTCTCGATCTCCTGACCTCAAGTGATTCACCTTCCTTGGCTTTCCAAAGTGCTAGGATAACAGGCGTGAGCCACCACGCCCGGCCAACACTTTCAAAATAAAAATATACCCTTGCATAACAGTATGCTTCTTCAATAAAGCACATCCATGGGACAAATCCAAGCCGTGGGCCATCAGTTTGCAACCTCTTGTCTGTCCTTGCCGTTTAGCTAACTGGTTCATGAACAAGGCTGTGAAGAGTGGCATCCTGAAAAGTCCCCCTTTGAAATCTCCAGATGCAAATCCCTTCATGGTAAAGACCAGCAAAATGAAGCCCAGGACAGGGAAGGGACTTGCCCAAAGCAATACAACCAAACTGTTGTAGCAGAACTGGGATTTGAACCCAGTTCACCTTAAGTCCCAACCCAATGTTCCTCCTCTCCCTCACCGTGTCTATCTAAAGGAGCTTAAAACTGGAGATGTTAATGCTGGCAAAGTGAAGCCTGTAGCTGCTAATTCCGGCTGCATCACTTAATTCATCCACCAACTGGCCGAGTGAATGAAAAATGAATCAGCTGGCATTATGAGTAAGTGGCACTCAGCTGCTTTCTGCCGGCCAGAGCTGCCCTGCATCTGCAGGTCAGACCCCCATGTGGAATTTAACCATTAGGGCCCACATGACTGCAGGCAGCCAGGCTGAGGAGGGGGAACGGATACTCACAGACTCAGGGTTTCTTCCGGGGCTCAGAGCCGTGCAGCCACCTCCCCACCCTCCCATGTGAGACTGAGATGATTTAAATATCACAACCACAGGAGCCAAACACACGTTTCAATGTCACCCCAATTAGGGGGATTGCAAAGTTGGATGGGCCCTCGAGGGAAGCACCGGCGACACCTGCTAGATGAGAGAACAAGGGCCCCGTTGCCATGGGGGTGCAGCATCCAATGCCTCGACTCAGGAAAATGGGAACTTTGGGGTCCATCTGTGCTGAATCTTGACAAATCCCAGCCCTTCTGTTGGCCACTGCTGACAAATGGACAGATAGGATCCCTACTGTGCATATTGGACGGGGTTCTTGTGAGAAATGAGGCACAGTGAAGGTGAAAATACTATGTGAATAGCAAAGCAGTAAAACATCTTTGCTGTTACTATGAAGCGTCCCTAAGGTAGAAGTTGAATGGGAGGGCTAATAGAAATTCTTTTTAAGGAGTAGGGTACTATTACGGTTGTAGTTACTACTGTTTCTACCTAAAGGGCTCTATTCTATGAGAGAGAGACAGAGTCTCTCCACATAGCCCCAGAGGCACAGTGAGAAAGTTGAGCCATGGGCAGTTCAGGCAGCAATGGAGGAAGACTTTTATACAGAGCTATACAAAGACAGAAGGGAGGGACACAGGAAGCAGTGAGCATGCAATCGCTGGGCGTGTCCAAGCTAAGGCTGGATTTGTCACTGATGCTGTGAGAGCACCCAGGCATCTGATGGAAGGAGGAAATTTCCACGGAATCACCTCTCGGGTCCCTTTCAGGCCTCATGCACTGAATTTCAGATTCTGTTGGAGGTAGGGATAAGCGGATGGGAATAAACCAAGAACCTGGAGCTGTGGGTCCAGGCCGGGCTCCATCTCAACTTGCTGGAGCTCTCCCCTCCCTCCTCCCCAAGCCCCCTCCCAGGCTTCGCAGCCTTAAGAGGAGTGGCTTCACCAGATCAGTGCACCTGGGGTTCTTCCAGTTGCAAATGCCTTTTCCAGTGGCCTCTCATGGAATGCCATGTGTTGAAGTACGGGGACAGAGTTTCTTGTTCCTTCCCTCCTGGTGACCTTGATGGTCCCTTCTTGCAATGGAGGGCTTGGAGGAACAGAGTTTGGGAACCATGGCTTGGAAACAACCCCCTTTTGTTGGCTCTGGCAGTGCCTGAACTTCCCACAAGTATTTGGCTTGCATTCCAACATCACCTGGTAAAACAGGGCCCCCTCTTCACAGAGTCTCAGTTTTGTCACCCAGAGACAGCCCTCTCAGGGCCTGAGCCCCTGTTCCTCCCCCATCCTCACCTCCTGGGCCCTGAGAACTGAAGATGGGAGTGTGGATTTGCACAGGAAATGACTTGATTAATGTCTCTGTCGATGTCAGAGATGGAGGATGAAAGGAGGTTGTCAGAATTATGAAAACATGCCCGCATCCCTGGGAAGATCAGTCCCTTTTGATATCCTGGCCTTGCAATTAGTCTGTGGGGAGCCAGGGCCCTGTGATTCCTGAGGTGTCCTAACCATCTCGGCTGTCTTTGCCACGGCAGCCTGCACTTGGGGCAGGGAGTGGGAGGGAGATGCAAATCAGGTTTGATAATGCCAGTTCAGCCCCTCCCTCTTTCCCTCCCAGTGCAATACACACTTCAATCTCCTGTTTATAACTTCCTGTTTTGCAAGTGATCTTGCAAAGGTGATCTTCAGAAAGGTGAGGACAAGTAATACCCAAGATCGCAGGTGAAACTGAATTAGCCTGTTTGCATACCCATTTCTCCTCTGTGAGCTCCTTGAACACAGGGATGGTGCTTGTCTCAAAGATGGGCACTGTAGGGGCTCCACCCACACCCCTCACATGTCTTTTGCTGGCTCTGTGGACTCCCCTGCCTGCTGTGTGGTTTTGCTCTCAATGGGCTACACACCTGTGACTCCTTCAGCCACCTGCCCAGGCTACTGGAAACTTTTCCAGTAAACGCAGACAGACTGAAGTACCTGGGAATTAAACTTTCCCTCAGCTAATGGCTGGCAGGTGTGGGACTGTGATGCCTCACTCCCTGATCCTGGCACAGGACATCCTGAGGCTTAACTTACACTGCAGAGTGCTGTGTGTGTCGGCCCGAAGCTACCCTCTGTGGGACTCCCTTGCTTGGCTTCTTCCCTCCCTCTCCTGCTTCCACTCCCTTACTGGTTTCCCTGGGAGGCACCTTCTTGATAAATCACTTGCACATGAATCTTGTTACAGGGACTCCTTCTGTGTCCCTAGCACCTGGGACTGGCCTGATTAGGGCTCAGTGATTGTGGTGAAGCTATGGAGAGGACTCTGGAGATGAAGCCGAACTCCTCATCCCGAAGATGAAGAAAGTGAGGCCTGATCTAGAACCTTGGTTCACGACCCTGGCCTCCAGACACTGTCAAGAGAAGGAATTCAAGGCTCAGTCAGAATATAGTGAAAGTACAGAGATTTATTGCAAAGCAAAAGCATACACTCAAGAAAGGGGAGTGAGGGTGTGTTCAGAGAGAGTCACTTAAGGGGGGTTGTGGTTTCTAACTTTATGGGTTTCTTTAACCAACGGGTGGAGTATCCATGAAGATTTCTGGGAAAAGGTGAGGACTTTTTGGAAATGTGGTGCCACCCATTTTTACGCTAAATATGGGTGTTCCAGAACTGTTATGGCACTGGTGGGTGTGTGATTATGTTAATGAGCATATAACGAGGTCATTGGTGAAACTGAGGTCAAATCCAGCACCATGTTGGGTTGAGTCGTTCTTAACCAGCTTGGCCACATCCTGGTTTTCAGGGTCTTATTGGCCCAAGCTTCTGCAGCTATTTCAACAGTTTCCTTTTTGTTATACAGCTATTTCAACAGGGGTGTGTGTGTGTGTGTGTGTGTGTGTGTGTGTGTGTGTGTGTGTGTGTGAAACTGCTGCCTGGAATTTTCTCCTATGACCACCTTGTATTATTTCTGTCTCATTATATTAGTAACTGAGGCAGAAAGTGTTGAGAGCCTCAGGAAGTGAAGGCAGAGGTCCATGAGGGCTTCCAGAAGGGAGAGGTCTCAGCCAAGGTGGGGAGGTAGAGAAGCTGGAGAGTCTAGATTATATTAGGGAAGCAGGGAAGAGTGAATTGATCAGAGTCTTCACAACTCAGGTCTGATGGGACATCCCAATTTAGAGGACTTCTTTATCACAATGGCTAATCAATGGGCTGGGTACCAGAGTCTGGGAAGGTGGCCTCTGTAGGTGCGGGCTCCCTCCTACCTTCCCAGTGTCACCACAGGCAGGTACTGGATCGTATAAGGTTAAGAGGAAGCCCAACCCCCTGAGACTCCCTTCTTCCCAGGTTTCTTCCTGGGTCTGTCTGTCACTCCTGCCTGAACTCCTGCAGCTCCCTCTGCATCTGGATGACCACCTGCACGAGTGTGGGTACATCTCTTCCCATCTACCTGTGGGATGAGGAGTTGCGCTTCATCTCCAGGGTCCTTTCCATAGCTTCACCACAATCACCCACATCCCCATCAGGCCCTGTCCTAGGTACTGGGGACACATTTTGGGCAAAAGCCTGACAGTGCCCAGAAAAGGAGGAACTGCTTCTGCATCAGATAGTCTAGGGGTAGCAGGAAGACGACATTCGATCTGGGCTTTAAGGTGGAAGAAACTGCCTGGTCAAGAATGGTTGAGCTCAACCTGGGAGGAAAAATGAGCAGGTACAAAGCCTGGGGAGTGGGAAAGTCTGGCTGTGCTCCCTAAGGCGAGGGTGGGTAGAAGAGGGGCTGGGAGGGGGTTGGGTGCCTACTTTGACCATTCTAGCTGAGAAAAGTGAAAAGCAAAAGACGTGGATAGGAAGCTGCATGGCTAGGAAACCTCTTCTCAGAGTGCGTGAAAAGGAAGAAATAACCAAAGAACAAGCCACACCTGGGGGCACCTGGTGATTGGGCTCAGAGGAGGGGACAAGTTCTGGCCCAGCTCCATCACTAACCGCCGGCATGAGTGTGGGGACATCCCTTCCCCTCTGCCAGCCTCAATGACCGCAAATCTCAAGGAATGTCCAATGAGACCTCAGTCTCAGGCCCTATTCCAGGCTGTGGGAATCCTGAGATGAATGAGGCAGTCCCCACCTGAAAGGAACTCCTAGGCCAGGGGAGAAACTAGGGGGAGAAAGATGCTAAATGGTCCATTTCAATATCATGCAGTAAGGGCCAGGATCTGGAGTGAAAGGAAGGCTGGCTCGACCTGTTTTAAGTGGGGACCATCGGCACTGGGGATGTGAGGCTGGGGGGAGATCATTACACTTCTGGTTTACAGGTGAAATCCCAAGTCCCACTGTAGCAGCCACCTGGGCCACCCAGTAGTCTTCGGGGTTGGAGAAGATAAAACATTGGATCAGTGGTTCTCAGAGTCTGTTCCCTGGGGCCAGCAGTATCACGAGCACCTGGGAACTTGTTAGAAATGCAAATTCTTGAGCCCCTCTCCAGATGTGCTGATCAGAAACTCTGGTGGTGGAGCCCAGCACTCTGGGTATTCTGTAGCCCCCAGGTGCCGGATACATGGTAGAGTTTGAAAGCCACTGCATACAATGATAATTGTCTAGTGGCTTGAGGGTTTGGTAATCAGTGGCTGGTATTTTCAGCTTGTAGCAGGCAATCAGGTGTTATTGATTAGTTCAATAGGTTCTGGACTTTGTTTTATTTCACTATCTACTGCTTGATTTATTAATCCAACTGTTATTGACTTCTGATCCCATGGCACATCCCTTCTCCTGGCTCCAAACATAAGGTGTTTGCAAGCACCTATTTTGTAGCTGAAGCACGGGCCTTAATGTTAGTTGGTCTCAGTTTTCCCTCCTGTGAAATGAGCTGGGGAGTTGGCGGCATGAGTTCAGAGGATCTGGGTGCTGGTGACTGTTCTGAGGGGGCTTATGAACTAGTCTTGCCTTGTGGCTGGTGGGGGCAGAGGCTGAGCAGAGGGCAGAGGGCAGGCAAGGAAGCACTAGGGACCAAACACCAGCTCTGCCACAAGAACAGCGCAAGCCACGCGCCGAGTGCATACAGAAGGAGCAGAGCTTCATTCTAACGCGGCGGCGAGGTGCCTGAGTTCCCTGTGATCTCCATCAGCCCCACGAAGCCACCCCAAATAAACGCACAATCTAAGCAAACCCAGTGAGTGAGTTGTGCAAACACAGCTTCCAGACAAGTCTCCCAGGACCAAGCTTCCTGCTCTTTTCAATATGGCACTGACCTTAAGCCCTCCTGTGGAAATTCTGGAGTTGCCGCTACTGAGGGATCCTGCCACGGCTTCTGGGAAGAGGGGGCGTAACACAGAGGCCTCAGGAGGAGAGCAGAGGTCTTCCAGGCAGAAGGAGCAGCTTGAGCAAAGGCATGGGGGCCTGAGAAAGTGGTACACACTCTGAGGGGCAGTGAGAAGACCACTGCACTGGCACATGAGGCATAGGAAGGAGGGTGGATAAGGCTGAAGGCAGAGCAGAGAAAGAACTGTAAGTGCCCTACATTTATCTTCTAAGCCATTTTTTTGCTCTACTTCCTTAGCAGCCAAATGCTTTTAAAAAATGATGGCTTACATCAATCCTTTATTATAAAACAGATCATAATGGCTAACAGCCATTGACGACTTTCTCTATGCCTTACATGGATGGATTCCCTAAATTCTCACAATCTCCCTAGTCCACAGTCAGTATAGCCAGGCACGTGGTGTGGTGTCACACCACTGTGTGCTCAAGCACTTACCACACAGAGCAGAAGTGGGGCTGGGGGCTGGCACCTCTGGCTCAGACATCCCTTCCCCCAACAGGGGGGCATCAGGCTCTTCCTTGTGACTTGGTGGCTCCAGGGAGAAGGGGTTCAGACTGGCGTTCTGATCTGCCCGGGGATTTTGAAGGAAAGAACTTGGTCACTGTGTGGAGAGAGAGGGATGGGAGAGGGAGGGAGAGCACAAGGGTCCCACTGAAACAGAAGAGGGCTGCGCAAGGCAGAGGCAGGTGCCAGTGTTGGGGCAGAGTCCCAAAGGCCTTTTTACAGCCCATTTTGTTCCAAGCCCTGGCCTGGAGGTCAGGGATCCAGCCTCTAAGTCCAATCCTGCCGCTGACTCTCTCTGTGGCCTTGAAAAAGACCCCATCCCTCTCTGGGGTCTGTTTCCCGATTGTACCATGACTGGGTTGGACTAGGTCAGCAGTTTCCAATCATTTCATAAGTAATATTCAAACACATTTATAGGTAGAAATCCATTACATAAAACTGACAAGAGTGACATTATTATAAATTTATGTTTCAGTTCAAATTTATAAGCACTACTGATTATAAAGTCAACCAATGAGAATAATGAGACTATTTCAATAACCCAAATAATTTGAAGTTGGACATTATAAATAATAGTTGCAATTCAGTGTCAGCATCAATATCCAATTTATTTCAGTATTTTGATTTGGTTTTTCTACATTATTAAAATCCTGATCCACCCTGAAAAGTAGTGGCAAATGGTAACATATTTTCAAAGCACTTTACCTTACTATCTCAGAATATTCACCAATTAAATGGATCCAGAAACTTCAAGAGGAACAATAGGCAATTATTTTGTTTCAAGGTTGAATTATTAACAATACCTAAGTCTTGCTCTTATTTTTTAAATGGTGAGTATTACATTGGGAGGGAGATGATGAGTAGGTTTCTTACTTTAAATGTTCATTGTTTGGCAGAAAAAATACTTTTCAAATGTAGCTGGAAGGATGTTTAGGGTTGTCATTTGAGGAAATCTCATGCCTCAGTGCCTGTGTCTGACAGCTCTTCACTGAAACTTTCTGAACAGTCAAATTTGTTCTGTTTTGCCTGTTAAGTCTAAGCTTCAGGATTCAATTTTATCCTAAATGCATTATCTAGTATTGTAAACAGGGTAACAGTGTGACCTTACATTGCTAAACGGAGTCCATTTAAGTGAACAAAAGTCAGACTAGTGGAGCCTAGCACTTACAGTAAGCACTGAAGGGTTCTTCCAGTATGATAACATCAAGACTTAGGGCATTGCCCCCAGTCCTTGGTTTTGGCCCAGCCCTTCTGTGGTGTCGAGCAGGTCTCTAGCTGTGCTGGAAAGTTAAGTGAGTGCAGCATGCAAGTCACCTTGCAGTGGGCTCACATGGACAGTGTGATGTGCAAGTTCATGTCCAGGCCTGAATTACCCAAGGGAAGCAGCGTAAGCCTCCTTCCCAGGCAATGGCGCGTCCACTCAGAATCCACATGGAGGCCCCAGGCAGGGCCGGAGAAGCTCTGTCTTGAGATCCACGCAGAATTGCATCAGCACATCAGCACGAGTGCGCAGGTTGGCAGGGGCCCCCTGGACTAGCATTTGGGAGCCTGCACAGCATTTTTGTTTCAAGATTTAAAATAAAGAATATCTATTTAGGCAATGCTTGGTGAAGTTACTAAAGGCCTTCTTTGGATCCCTGGGGGCTCCAAACATCCCAGTTTGGAAATGGAAAGCCTGGGCAGACATCGGAGGGCTGTGCATGCCTCCATGGGCATCAGCCTTGACAATGAGGGAGTCTATTTTATCCTCCCATCCCCCAGCCCTGGATGTTTCCAGGAGTAGAAAACCAAGCCCTCCCCAGCCCCGCACCCCCAGCCTGTGGGATTCCCTTCTACAAAAGTCATTACTGCCTCTCTTGGTCGTCTGCCAGCTCTAAAGTGTCTTTTTAATTGCATCTAATTTGGCCTCATCTCATTAAATCCTTAATTTAAGCTGGAGTGATCCCTCCAGCGCTGGCTGCCTAATGACAAAGGGACTCGCACTGCCCTTCCCCCTTCAGCACGGCTCCCCGGTTGGGGCTGCTCTCATTTGCAGGTGGTCTCTCTGGGAGGCTTCTGACAAGTGGCTGTCGTCCTCGCCACGCTGAGTGTGGAGCTGAGCCAAGAGGGCTTCCCAGGAGCGGTAATTACTGGTAAAGGCTCAACCCTCCACCCCACTGGCACCCTGGCTCACAGGCCCAAAGCTGCTGCAGCAACAGCATCCAATTCTAGTGGTGCAGGAATGGGAGGAAAGTGAGGAGAAGACATTGAGATTAAACAGTAATAAACATAATAATGACAGTAGCCACTGCTAAGCCCAGGACATCATGTTTTAAACACATTATCACACTGGGGAAGGTGTCGCTGGCCACACATTGCAAGTGAGGCCATCCAAATTTGCAGGCAAAAAGTGGCAGGTCTTAGGATAGAAACGCAGATCTGTCTGGCCTCAGTAGGAGGAATCTTCCTGTTATATCTCCTAGTCCAACCTCATCTCCTAACAGGCTCACCCTGGTTACTCCCCTCCAGCCACCCAGCCATCTCAGTGTTCCTTGAACAGGCCAGCACGTCCTGCCCCAGGGCCTTTGCACCTGCTGTCCTCTGTGTCTGGAAGGCTCTTCCCCTGCATATGTATCTGGCTTACTTCTTCTGCCCATCAGATGAAAGCTCAAATGTCTTCTCTTCAGAGAAATCTTCCTTGACCTCCCCTATTACCCTTCTTCATTCTCCTCACCTTGTTTGTTTTTTGTGATTTTTATTTTTTTTGTTTGAGAGAGGGTCTCGTTCTGTCACCCAGGCTGGAGTGCAGAGGCATGATCATGGCTCACTGTAACCTGGACCTCCCAGGCTCAAGCAAATCTTCCTACCTTTCAGCCTCTGGAGTAACTGAAACAACAAGTGCATGCCACCATGCCAGGCTAATTTTTGTTTGTTTTTGCTGGTAGCACTTATCACTAGCATTTACTAAATTATGCATTTACCTTTCTAAGATGAAGCACTATAAGAGCACAAAAATTTTCTGTCCTCTTCACTGCTGTATGCCTAATACCTAGAACAATGACTGGCATATACTAGGTCTTTGATTCATATTTGCTGCTTGACTGCATTACGGACATGTCTAATCTAGGGGTGTACAATCTTTTGACTTCCCTGGGCCATATTGAAAGACGAAGAATTGTCTTGGGCCACATAAAAATACACTAACACGATAGCTGATGAGCTAAATACAAAACAAAACAAAACAAACAACACAAAAAATTCTTACAATGTTTTAAGAAAGTTTACGAATTTGGGTTGGGCTGCATTCAAAGCCACCCTGGGCTGCATGTGGGCCACGGGTTGGATAACCATTTCAAAAGGATACATGCTTTCTAGCACTTTTCAATGCCAATGGTTGCCAAGATTGAAATCTCCCCTAGCGTTCTCTGCCTCAATTCTACAGGCCAGCAGAATCCTTCTCTGAGGATGGCCCACAAGAATGCAGCCTAGAGGCCTCAGAGTTAGGGCTGAGGCTTGTTGCATTGGTGTGGACTTTTTGGGAAGCTGGTTGCTATAGAAACACCCATTGCCTCCTAGAATGGGCTTCCCATGGCTGCTCAGAGCTCTCTGCATTGCTGGGATCTTCTGAGAGGGAGGCACAAGAGCCAAGGGAGAATATCTTGGGCTTCTAATGCAGTTCATCCTGGGCAAGTCCCCTCACCTAGCTGAGCATCAGTTTCCTCATCTGTAAAATGGGTGTTATCACACATACATCACAGGGCTATAGGGAGGATTCAGTGAAATTATGTATGTAAAGGGCTGGATCCCAGTAGCTGTTCAACAAATTGCACACCTATTCTTGGTTTTATAAAACTCCAAAAAACTTGGAACCTAATTTTATAAAATTCAATCTTTACTTTGAATTTATTCCCATCAAGAGCTGCGGAGGGTCTGAAATTTTTCCTCACTTGCAAGCTACCAGCCACCCTGCTACAGTTTCATGGATGCTGGCAGAAGACATGAGACTCCAGGGCCAGAGACAAAAGACTTTATTACTCATGGTGTTGCAAGCAGCATGGGCTTCATATTTATATCAGTTCTCCTTGCTCCCCAAGGCCCGTGGGGGGATGATGCTGAGCAGCCTGGTGGATGTGGTATGCATAGTGGGTGTGTGTCAAAATTAGGAACTCCAAGTTTAGGAAATCCAAATCTTTCATTATGACCTATAAGCAAAGCTATCTTTGCCTCAGAGGTGAGACATTATTTTTATTATACAGGACAGCAAATAAATCTGCCTTCTGCTTTGGAGGGAAAAATGATCTCTGTCTTCCAGGGTGGCTGCTCACTCTACAAACACCCATGAAAAGATAGTCTGGAAAGAAAGCTATCAGTGCCTCCACTTGTAAGATGTGTGGAAACATGAGAAATCCGTGGAGCATTGTCTCCCAATGAGGTCATGTCCAGGCGAGATCTATAAGGAGTGGGGCAACTGTTAAGAGGCTCGCTCTGCAAAGGAGAGTCTCCTTTCCAGGCTGTTTTGAGTGAGCCTGTGTGGCATGCATTGTGGGCCCTTGCCACTGCCAGCCTCACCTTCCTTAGTGTGGAGGATCCCCAGGTGTGGGAGGGTTCAAATGAAAGGCAAAGCTGAGGATGGGAAGCTGAGTGCCTTGGAACTGCATGGCTTGCTCAGGGGTTTGGTGCATGGCAGTGACCATCTCTGAAGAACATGAATAACCTGCTTGAAGACCAGCGCAGCCTGACTCATGGGGCTCCCCCTTCCTATCTGCCCATCAGCAAGCACAGGCAGCAGTCAGGCAAGACAATACCCAGAGATGAGCTGGCCTGGCCTGGCCCCACTGAAATCTTGCCACCTGCAGGCATGTGTTGGGGGAAACTGCCCACATCACCCTGCTTGAGGAGGGAAAGAGCCCAGGTCCTCTACAATTCACTCAGCAAACATTCAATAGGCACTGACTGTGTGCCCAGT
Source organism: Homo sapiens (assembly GCF_000001405.40). NCBI lineage: Eukaryota > Metazoa > Chordata > Mammalia > Primates > Hominidae > Homo > Homo sapiens. Next base: position 38,287,827 of record NC_000009.12, read on the forward strand.
CCTGAGCTACACTGGGAAGAGAAATGCATCAGACTTGGTCCCTGCCCTCCTCAGACTGGTTGGGGGGGACAGACGTGGCTGGACATAGGCATTAAAACACAGGGTACTAAGAGCCACATTGGAAGTGGGCAAGGAGGAGACATTTCTTTGGGGGAGGGCATTTCAGAGTTGAGTCTTGAGGGATGAATGGCCAGGCATGGGAAGGGGAGGCGGAGCACAGGGAGGGCCCAATGGCACAAATGGAGGGTAGATTCAGGGAGCAGGAAAACCCTTGAAAGCTATGCCAAGGGATTTCCATTTTAGCCTGCAGGTAATGAGTGGCCACTGAAGGTGGTGGGGTGGGGGTGTACGTAAATTCTGGTTATTTTTCTTATTACTGAAGTAAAATGTCCTGTTAGAAAAAATTTACAGAATATCAAGTACAAAAGAACAGAATATCAATCACCCATAATTCCTCTACCCAGGGAAAACTACTGTTAACATTTAGTGAATTTCTTTCTAGTCATTTTCATATTGGCTTCCAGTGACCCAAACCAGAGTCCTGGAATGGCCTATTCTTCTGCTAACCTTCACACCCTATATCTTCTTTTAAAAATGTGAATGTGCAAGACAAATCATGTTACTCTATTTTCTCTAAATTAAACTCACAGCCTCCATCCCCTCCCCTACCCCTGTCAGGATGGGGGTACACACTCAAGCTCAGTCATTTCAGAAACTGAAAGAGGCATCTCACCCTCCCCAGGCCCACAGGGTGCAGGGGAAAGGGGAGAATGGCTCCCAGCCCTCTGTCTGGCAGCTGCCCCTCCTGACCTGCATGTGGTCACTGCCAGCAGCCCTGAGGCCTCTATGCCATCTGTGGTGCCCAGGAATTTTTGCTGAGCCTGGATGCTGTGGAGGCAGAACCCAGTCTCCTTGGGGACACCCAGCCACTCCCCTCTGAGGACTGCCGAGGAGTGGGTCCTGCTCCCAGCCATGGCGAATCTCCTCTCTCACAGGCCAGTTCTGTCTCCCTTCCTCTCTTGCACAGAACCCTCAAGCAGCTCAGGCTTTTGGTAAAGCAAAAGCCAAGAAGTAACTGATGCACTGATGCCTGCAAGCGTCTCCTCCCAAGTCAAGGAGAGAAAAGGCTGGGTTCTTACTTGGAACTGAGAGGGAGAATACAGTTAGAGGAAATACAGGCAAATACCTAAATGCATTATTTTCCAGAAACATGCATATATAATTTTTTAAAAATGCACAAGACTCTGCTTCATTATAATGGCAGTGCAGAGTGAGCCCCCTTCCTTCTTGAAGGTGGAAGAGCTCTCAGAAAATTCATCATCTTTCCTTGATTCTCCCATTCCCACTGCAGGGAGTGGAGACTGGGGCTCCCCCTCCCCTCTAGGCTGATGGAGAGGCAGGTAATGAGGCTCCAGGCTGCAGACTAGCTTTCACACTTATTTCTGATAATTGGTCAGCCCTTTCAAGAGCAGGTGGGTCCTGATGCAGTAATTGGCAGGGGGCAGGCCGGTCACTCAAGGACTGGAAAGGTGTTAATTGCTCTTTCCCCATCCCCCACATATATTCCTATTAAGGAGGAAACTTGAAGGGTAAGAAATGTCCAGGAGAAGTCCTAAGTACAAAAGGGCAAAGGTTTAGTGCTTTCCTCTGATACTCCAATGAGGGTAATGTTGATGGGCAGTCATTGGTAGAACTGGGATTCAGAAACTGTGGCTATGAGATCCCAAAGCTTATGGCTTGACCACCACGGTGCTGTTTCTTGTTGAATGGAATGGATGGAAGGGAGGGATGGAGCTCAGGTGACTCCTGCAGTCTTTTCCAATTGGGCCTGGGAAATCCCCCAGGCTGGGGAACCGGAGCCAGGGCTAGGGGCTCAAGCCCCTTTCCCCACGGAGTTCCTCTCAGGAGGTGTTTGTGCAATGGATGGTTCTCTTTAAATAACACTCCAAGCCAACACATTTTCTTCATTGGAAATTACCTTCAGTCCAACATTTTATCAGCCTGACCTGCAGAGTAATTGGAAGCAGGTGGATTTTCCTCAAACAACAATCAGTCATGGAGAGAGTACGGATCATGCCCCTCTCAGAGAAGGAGTGGGCCCTGGTCTACAGCATGTGGAAATGCCTCTGGAGCCCAGGCAGCATGCCAGCAGACAGAGGCCCCTGAGTATCCGTGTTCTGCTCTGCAGGGGAACAGCAGCCATTCCTGGAGCAGGACAGCCGGGCCTCGCCCCAGTCACGGCGGGGACAGCAGTACACAAGCACACAAGCACGGAAGCATGCAGGCACACTTACAGCGCCTGAGACTGTGGCCATCCTGAAGAAAGGACTTGGAGACAAGACTCTTCTCTCAGTTACAGGCTCCGGCTCTGCTCTCCAGCCACGCACCCAAGCCAGAGGCCCGCAAGTAGTCCAAGCCTTCTCCTCTCTTTCACACCCCATATCCAATCATCCCAGGTCCTGAGTACCACACTTCCTGCCTCCGATAATTCTGTCCCTGCCAATTAATTACTTAGTTCAGGCTTCATCCTCTTATCGGGACCTCCATAGCGGCCTTCTTATTGGTGTTTCTGACCTTACCCCCTCCTATCAATCCCCTATCTTATAGCCAGAATAACCTTCATGAAATTCAGGTCTGATCTAACTGCTCCATTTGAAACCCTTCCATGGTTTCCCATCCCCAAAGCGTAGCATACAAGGCCTTCAGTGTCCTGGCCTCTGCCTCTCTGCTGTTTCAGCTGCTTATTTCCAGATATGATGTTCTCCAAACATTCTATGCCCCCTGGAACCACCAGGCCTTTTTTCCTACTGTTCCTGTTGTCTGGAGTGTTCTCCTCCTTTTTCCAAAAGCCTGAATCCTACTCATGCTTCCGAGACCATTTCCGGTGGCACCTTATTGAGGAAAGTGAATCCCTGTGTTTTTTTCCCCCCAGCTTTGGGAATGTGGTGTCTGTAGTAGGTAGAATAATGCCACTTCCCTAAGATGCCCATGTCCTAATCCCAGAAACCTGGGAATATATTGCCTTACATGGCAAAAGGGATTCTGCAGATGTCATTAAGTTCAGAAAATTGTGATGGGATGATTATCCTGAATTATCTGGATGGGCCCAATTACTCACAAAGGTCCTTATAAAAGGGAGGCAGGAGTATGAGAGGCAGAGAGGGGGATATGATGTTAGAAGTGGAAGTGGAGTGGAATTGGAGTGATGTGGGGCCACCAGCCAAGGGATGTGGGCAGCCTCTGGAAGCTGGAAAGGCAAGTATATGAATTCCTCCATACAGCCTCCAGAAAGGGCCACAGCCCTGCTGACACCTTGACTTTAGCCTACTGAGACCCACATTGCACTTCTGACCCACAGAACTGTAAGATAATACATTTGTGTTGTTTTCCGTCACTAAGTTGGTGATAATTTGTTGCAGCAGGCACAGGAAACTAACACAGCCTCATATTAGAGTTGGTTCTTCATGAGTCTGTGAGACCCTGGAGGGTAATGGTTGGCCCTTCCCTGTGCCTCTACTCCCAGTACAAGGTCAGACACAGACGACACCTAGCAAATGCTGGACAAAGGAGCGAGGGAGGCACTTCCTTTCTCTGGCACCAACAGACCCATTGTGGATATCAGGCCTTTGGGGCTTCATGGGCTGAGATGAAGTGGAATTGACTTTATTTCATAGCCAGAAGGCATGGTTCCCTGTGTTACTAGCACTACCTTTTTACCCTGCTAAGTCCAAAACCACCAGTTATGTTGCCTCAAAGACAACCTCTGTGCCGGGGGTGGTGGCTCACGCCTGTAATCCCAGCACTTTGGGAGGCGAGGTGGGCAGATCACTTGAGGTCAGGAGTTCAAGACCAGTCTGGCCAACATAGAGAAACCCCATCTCTACTAAAAATACAAAATTAGCTGGGCATGGTGGCGCACGCCTGTAATCCCATCTACTTAGGAGGCTGAGGCATGGGAATTGCTTGAGCCTGGGAGGTGGAGGTTGCAGTGAGCCAAGATCTCACCACTGCACTGCAGTCTGGGTGACAGAGCAAGACTCTATCTCAAAATAAAACAAAACAAAATAAAAAAGAGACCTCCATTGGGTTATTGAGATCACTTAGCCTTCCTACCCCAGCTCACTTGTAGTAACTCCCATGCACGTCAACAAGGACATTTGGCTCAGAGGCTCATGGAACATCAGGGCTGCAGGAGCCTTTACGATGCTCCATCTCACTTCCTTATTTATAGATGGGGAGCCTGAGAGAGGGAAGGGGTCAAAGTGGTCATACTGTGGCCCAAAAAGAACCCAGGCCAGGCCTCTTTCCCTGTACCTCCCAAGGAACCAGACACTAGAATCAACATCCCCATTTTATAGATGAAGAAACTGAGGCATAGAGAAGTTGAGTCACTTGCCCACAGTCAGCCAGTGAGTAAAGCTGATTTGAATTGGTTGAACACCAGAGTCTCTCCTCTTAATCTCTGCACTATACTGACAGGTGGGGAAACGGAGACCCAGGGAGGGTCCCAGGGGTGATGGCTGCACAGAAAGTGGGTATGGCAAATGTTTAAATCAGAGCCTGCCAAAAGCACAAGGTAGGAAGTGTCTGGGCTGAAATGAAGGCCTTGGGAGTTTGACTTCTTCAATTAGGCTGTTTGTTTTTCTGAGTCCAGAGAATAATTTAACTAATGGTGCTGGTTTTCTGACACTATTGATCGGCCAAGATTAAATATGTTTGTCACAGTCAAGTGAACTAATCACTTTATTGTATTTCAAATACTAATTTCATCAGATAGATGTTGGGGGGTGCCCCAGGGGGAGGTTCTGGGAGATGAGCATGTGCACAGATCGGGGTGCAGGGGGAGGGCTGCCAGGCAATCGATGGAGCCAATCTGCCTAGAGGGCTCTGGGACACCAGGCTTTCTGGACGCCTGCAGCTGTGCTGCTCAGACTAGAGGAGTCTGCATTTTCTCTATCCTCCCCATTGCTGTTCCACGCCCTCTTGAAATTTCTCTTCTCAGGAGAGGCAATTTCTCAACCATTATTGGAAAATGGTAGATGTTCCTAAATAACTATCCTAAATCACCCCTCATCCAGTAATCCCATAGCTGCTCTGGCTCTGCTGGGTGCAAATGCTGCCTCTCTGAGCCATTAGCCATTCCAGGGACCACCGATTCATGGCAAAACCTGAAAATGAACTCATCTGTCTTTCAGGTTTGGAAAGGCTTTGCCATTTCCATAGCTCATCATGTTGGACAAGGGGACCCAGGGCTTATTAAATCACCCTCTGACACAATGCAACTGAGCAAGCCTCCCTGCTCAGGAGAGAGGGCGAGTATATACACGTGCACACACATAAACATACATGCCTGCACAGAGGCCCACAGAAACACATGTGGACACACACATGCACACACAAACATGCATGTTCATACACGTGCATGGACGTGCATACATACAAATGCACACACATGCACACATGTGCACTATACCCCTACATAGCCCATGCACATATACATACATCCTGCATGAACATATAGCTATGTAATGCATGCACACCCACATATGCACACTCACACATGCACACATGTGCATACACTCACATACAAGGTTCAGAAGTTCCCAACAGGCAAGATGTTTCTTAAACACATGAAATGGGTTTGTCCCCTGCACACAGAGTCTCCTAAGACTACTTGGTTGAGAGACTCTGAAGACAAAGTCAATTTCTCTAACTCTGAACACAAGCCTGCCAACAAGTCTCCTTTCTCATTTTATTGTATTTAATCACACCAAACACAAGCCTCAACTGTACCCCCTGGAGCTGAAGAAAGGTAGGTATCTACCTTAGACTTCTGAGGCTCAACCCTTTGGTGATTAGATGGGGGACAAGGCCAATTCCCAGCTGAACTTCAGACACTGAGGAATAACCCACCAGAATCATTGTGAACACTCGCTTAAATGGGTCCAATAAGGAGGGTCATTTCCAGAGGAACACACATGTTTCTACATGGAAGAGCCTTCTTCCACAGCTGCCCATAGAGCCCCTCGGGCTGTCTGGATGGGCTTAGCTGGCACTCTTCACTGGAGAATTGGGTTATTTTATATGTGCAATGTCTCACATCTGTACAGCTTTAAATCTATTATCATCCAGCAATTCTGGAAGCAGATAGGGCTTTGGGATTTACCATCCCTGTTTTATAGATGGGAAAACTGAAGCCCAGAGAGGGAGAGAGACTTGCTAAACATCCAGAGAGTCAGTGGCAAGTTGGAACTGGAGTTGGACTTCCTGACTGTAAGAGTGGGGACCAGTCCTTTGTAAGTCTCTGGTCAAATCCTACCCAAGCATTCAGAGCTTTGCAATATTCCCCTTTACCATATTTCTGTTCTTTTTTCAGTCTTTCACTCATTGCCAGATTTCTTGACTGCAGTTATGCCCTTGAGCAGAAGTCCCAAATACTCTCCAATCTGGGCTGCTCTTTCCAGACAACTTCAGGCTTGGTATCAAGAAAAAGGCTGCCTGTGTGGCTGGGTTGAGTAGGCCAAGGCCCTTGTCCTTGCCAGGTTTTCTCTATTTTTAGAAGCATTTTTTTGTGACTTCGATGCTGAGATCTGGAGCTTTCCTGGAGAGTTTTTTTCAAGCTTCAGAAGATGCATCCATCCCCAGGAATCCTACTGGGTTAAACGAGACAGAAAAAACCAGCAGCATCTCCCCAGGGAAACATCGAAAGTCAGAGCAGCAACAAACAGATTTGCTGAACATTTCAAATCTTTGAGCATCGTTAAAACCCAGAGAGCTGTGTGTTGAGTATGTAACCTGGCCTTTTAGTCTCCTTTCATGCTATGTAACTCCAGATGTTTTACCTCCTGAAAAGAAGTTTTTCTACATGATAGAGTACCCAATTTGCAAAAAATATCCTGGTTCCCTCTCCAAGCCAGCAAACTGTCGGCGGCATGCCAATTTTGATGTGCTCGTTAAAACCCAGACTTAGGAAATATTCCACACGTGGGTTTGGTGGTCTGAAGAATTTGGAATCAGAAGGCCTGAGCTCTGCCTTCAACTTGCTGAACCAGTTGCCTAAAGCCCCACAGAGCACTGGGACAGAGCTGGTGTTGAACACCCAAGCCACACACCCTCTGAGCAAAGAAGAATCAAATCTAACAAGGTCAACAAGCACATCTGAACATAGGCTGGAAACAGGGAGAAGCATGTCACAGTAACCATGTCCAAAAAGATCCCAGTCAAGGCAGTGGGGTAAGGAAGTATTCCCTCTGCATTTTCTTGTTCTCTATGTGGACTTCTGGTAGCCACCATCCTGTGCCCACAGCCCCACAGAGAGGGCCTGGAGGGTACAGTAGAACCCTTGGACAGACCAGCACTGACATTTCAGGGTGGAATTATCAGGGCTCTCCCTTTAGTCCTTGTTGGGATCACTGCCAAGTCCCTTTCTCTGGTGTCAGCCTCTGGCCCTCTCTGTCATTTGTACTGTTGACCACTCACCACTACCAGAGTCCATATCCTCCCTTGCTCCTGGGACTCCACAGTATCCAAATGTACTCTCTTTTTCTGGCTGTTTTATCTCTGCAGACACGTTTTCCTCAGCCTATTCCTTGAAGATTGGTGTTCTCCAGGACCATCTTCTTTTCTATCTATCCTCTCTCTCTCTCACTTTCTCTATCATTTATCCTCTATCAATATCTTCTATCATCTATCAATATCATCTATCATATATTCATCCATCTATTATCTGTCTATATAATCTATCCGTTCATCCATCATCTAGTATCTATATCAGCTATCATCCATCTATATTATCTATGTCTATCTATTATTTACCTACCCATTCATTTATTATCTATCTATTCATTTATTCATTCATTCATCTCTATCACCTGTCTATCCATTCGTCTATCAATCAATCAACATCTGTCTATTCATCTATTTATCATCTATCATCTATCTATCTATCTATCTATCTATCTATCTATCTATCTATCTATCTAATCTATCCACTCCCTGCACCATCTTGCCCACCCTCGTGTCTTCCATTAACCCCATGTGATGACTCTCCAGAGTGCCAGATGTATTAATCCACCTACCTACGTAACTTCTCCACTTGATGCCCTGCAGGGATTTTTCTCACATAATGAGTCTAGAAGCAGGCAGTGTCTTGCATTGACTCAGCAGCTTAAGCATGTCCTAGCTGAAGTCTCTGGTTCTCTTAGCCTTTCCCTTGTGGTTGCAAGAAGGCAGCTGTAGCACTGGCCATCTCATCTGCATTCTAGACAGGAAGAAAAAAGACATGGAGAAGGGCAAAAAGACACCACTGGTTTAGAAGCCTCTTCTAAAGCGTCTTCCAAGAAGCTCCGCCCAACTGCTTCCCCTTTCATCTCCTTGGACGCTCCTACCTTCAGAGGGGCAGTGTCTTATCTGCATCTAGTTTTAGTGAGCACACTGCCATCCCCATTGTGGAAACAATAGGGAACAAGAGGAGACATCTCCCTAGACTTCTCAACCCTCTCCCCTGACTGCATCAGGCTTCTCCCACAGCCCCCTACCTGCCTGTACCCCTATCCCTCTTGGCCCCTCTGATGGGCTCCCATCCAGAGCCAGAATGATCTTTCTAGCATGAGACCCTGGTTCTAACACCCTCAGCAGCTGCTTCATCAGGGGTCTGCACCTAGATGCCCCTAGATAAAACTCACTGACCCACAGGATAAAGTTCTCAGCCTAACCTTTAAGATCCTGGAGAATCAGTATAATCTCCAGAAACTGAAAGTTCTATTTCTTTGCTGCAATGCTCCTCGTGGGTTTCAGAAAAGTGCAGGCATCCTTGAGGGGGAAGGGTGGCTGACAACAGAGGATTTAAAAAACAAACACATTAGCTCTGGCCTGCCCAGATAATGAATAGAGGAGAAGGTTATCTATCTCACTGATTTATGTTGTTACGGTTTCTTCCATAGACCAAAGTGGGAGCATCTTTACATCTCCCGCCTTCCACATTTGCTGTGGCAAGGAAATCACATTTTCCATCAACCCTGGGAATTACTGAACGGCAGTGCTTTTATTTGTTAAGGATTGAACTTGGCCATTTCTTCTATCAGGGGCTGAGTCCTGCTGTTATGCATAACTTCTCATCCAGAGAGACACCATGGAGAATAAATCAGGACTGGGACTCAGTGTGACAGCCACATTCTGGCAGGGCTCTGGGGTCTGGGGGCTAATAGGGTTTCACTGCAGGGAGAAACTGCTTCCAACTGGGCTGGGGAGAGGAGGTGAGGCTGAGACTTTGAAAAATGAGTGGAAAAAATTTTGCCACTTCATAAAACCAGTGTCAGTGGGTGAAACATAAACCATCCAGAGACTATGAGAGCTGGCAAGGCCTTTGGGGAGTTTAGGGCCTCTTAATCTGTGGCTGGGTTTTATGGGGTCTGTGAACCCATGAAATTATGTGTAAACGTTTCTGTGCATGTGTGCATTTCCAGCACACACAAAGGGGTTACAGTTCATTGCTTTCATCAATTCTCAAAGGTCAAGAACTGATCTGGCATGACCCTCTCGTCATGAAGAAAAGAAAACTGTGGGGTCTTTGGGATAGAAGAGACCAGCCAAGTTCCACTGGTAGGAAAGAGGCAGAACTGGGATTAGGAATTTGCAGACTCAGGTTCCAATTTGGCCTGGCCGGATCCCGGCTGTGTGACTTTGGGCTGGTTACCTTATTGCTCTGGTGTTTTATTACACACACATTTAAGGAGATGTCAAGGGGATTTTAAAAGGGAATTAATGACTTCAATACCTACTTACAGGAGGTGTGGAGCTGGTGCTCCATAAGTATTTTTTTAATCACCGAATAATGTTGAAAATCATTCTTTTCAACTATCATCTATTCAGCAAATATTTGTTGACTACCTCTTATATACCACATGCTGAGTGAACAAAGTAGGCACAGTCCCTGCCCTGGCAGAGTGGGAATTAAGAAGGGGCAGCAGTTAAGAAAACAGACCATTGTTATTGCTGTAACAATGAGCTATTACACTGTTGATGTAACCCTTGTAATGCAGTGTGATGAATGTCATAACAGGGTCAGCATAGGAACCTGCGAGAGCACAGGGTAGGGGTACCTAGCCAGAGGTAGTGTGGGGCGGGGGAATCAGGAAAGGCTTCCCAGAGGAGGCAACAAGTAAGCTGAGACCTGAAGGAGAAGCAAGAATTGGCCAGGCAAAGGGAGGGCTGGATTATCATCTAGAGAACAACACATGCAAAGGTCTAGAGGCCAAAGAAAGCTTGGTGCACTTCTTTAGGGAAGTCATAGATCAGTCTTGCTGTTTCTACCTGCTGCAGGCAGCCAGGAGAAGCCATACTGAAGTGCATTAATTCCTTTTGAAAATCCCCTTGACATCTCCTTAAATGCATTTGTAGTAAAACATTAGGGCAATAAGGTGACCAGCCCAAAGTCACACAGTCAGGATCTGGCCACGCCAAATTGGAACCTGAGAGGCCAAAGAAAGCTTGGTGCACTTCTTTAGGGAAGCCATAGATCAGTCTTAACTGATTTTAGCTGCTGCAGGCAGCCAGGAGAAGCCATGCTGAAATCAACATACATAGCCAGGACCTCGACATCCCTTTCATCTTTTATCACCAGTTTGTCTTTGCATTTACTTACTTAATGTTGGCACTTTTGTACATGGCCATCTCCTCCTCCCTGTCGATCCAAATAGTGCAGCTTCCCTCTAGCTCCTTGTCTCTAGAGGTGAGCAAATACTTACCTCCAGTAATGCTGGGATTAGAACCCAGATGGGACAGTCTGCTGAGCTCTTGTTGTCACAAGCAGACGATCATCGCGTGGCTTGCTGCGCTGTCCCAGGCTGGCTGAGCTCCCTGAGTTGCTGCCCTGCCAGGGACAGCCTGAGTGATCACCCCTGAGATGATTAATTCCTGCCTCCCATGGCCGGCCCTGGGTCTGCAGCCAAGTGCTGCTGTCATCTCTTTATTTTTCTGCTCTACTGTTATTGAAAATCAATAAGGCATCCAAGCTGAATGAAGTTTAGTGACTGGGACTGAGTCCATAAATCAAATAAAAACTAAATTATATTTAAAAAGGGAAAAAGGACTAAGAAGGCTGCTTTGGGGTGGAGTGCAGTCCCTGAGAGTTGGATATCACGGAGGCAAAGAGATGAGCAAGAAATGGATACTACCTGGTTGGTGGGTGGGCTGTATCAGGACTGGAAGTACTTCCGGGAACAGCTTATCCAGTCCCCTATTTTCCAGGTCAGAAGACTGAAGTTCAGAGGGGACTGAAGTCACACAGTGAGAGGCAGACCTGGCCCCAGACCCAGGCCCTGGGCCTCCTCTGCACCCACAGTTACTCTCCTTCTACCAACCGGCCTCAAATCAATTAGAAACAACAGCTGAAGTGAAGTGAATTCTAGAGGAAACCCAAGGAAGAGGTTTTAGATTTTTATGTTGTCAAATGTATCACTCTTTTACTTTACAGTTTCTGCATTTAATGTGGTGCTTTAAAATCCTAAACAAATATGTCTGTTTCCAGCCAAGGAGTCTCCAGAATAGTTCCTGGAGCTCACACAGAGCTGAGAATTTTTCATGTTCTCCCCAACTCAAGTGGAAAGACCTCCTACCACGCGGGATACTGAGTAGGATTCTCAGCCTTATTAGTGAGGCCAAATTAACCCTACCCTAAAAGCTGCTCTGTCACCCTCAAAAGGATACAATTGATTCATGCTCCAGAACAAAGTCCAATGGTATTTAAAGGGATATAATAAAATTCAGCAACCAACAAGGTAAAATTTGCAATATCCAGCACCGAAGTGCTCCCTTGGGCAGCAAGCACAGAAATAGGAAAATGTGGGTTACAACCGGATGGAAAACTAATTAGTAGAAACAAACCAATAAGTAATAGAAATTATAGAATTAGAAGACAAGAACATTAAAACAGCTATTATGACTCACAGGGTCAAGAAGGTAGAGGAAAATGACCAGGATGAAGAGTGAAATGGAAGTTTGTAAAATTTAAGCTCCAAATGGAATTTCTTGAAGTGAAAAATATAATATCTGAAATGAAACACATACACACAGATGGTAGTAATATGAGATTAGATTCTGAAGAAGGAAAAATCAGTGAACTTGAAGCTATAGCCTTAGAAACTATCCACAATGAAATATATGCTTACCATAGAGCAATCATACTACTGGGCCAAGAGAAATGAAATCATGTTCACAAGAGGACTTGAATATTTATAGCTTTGTTCATAATGACGAAGAGCTAAAAATAAGCTAAACATCTGTGAACTGATGAAGAGATACGTAAGATGTGATATATCCATTCTTTTTATTATTCAGCAATAAAAGGAATGAACTACTGATACTTGCAACAACGTGAGTGAATGTCAAAAGCATTATGTTGACTAAATTTACATGAAATTCTAGAAAAGGTAAAACTACAGTTATAGAAGGCAGATCAGTGGTTGCCTAGGGTGCAGAATGAGAGAGAGTAAATTGATTGCAAAGGGTGTAAGGGAACTTTCTGGGTTAGAAATATTTTTATTAAAGTTGTGAAGATGATTATATAACTGTGTACATTTGTGAAAACTCAGTGTGTGTATGCTGGGGGGAGTATGGGTGTAGTTATAAAAGGACAGCATGAGGGGTCCTTGTAGCGATAGAACTCTTCAGTATCTTGACTATGGTATAAATACACCAACCTACACATGTGATGACATTGTATAGAACTAAATATACACATACAAGTGAGTATCAGGGAAAACTACACAAGATCAGTGGGGTGTTATCAATGTCAATATCCAGGTTATGATGTTGTATTATCACAATCATTAGTGGATCATTAGTGCTACAACTAGGGGAAAACTGGTTAAGGGTATATAGGATCTCTCTGTAATATTTCTTACAACTGCATGTGTAAGACAATTTTTACAATTATCTCAAAAAAATTTCAGTGAAATTTTTCAGTGATAATTGTAATTTAATTACAATTATCTCAAAAAAATTTCAGTGAAACTAGATTGTAGAAATAAAATTGCTAAATTTTATTGTATGTAAATTATTATTTCTCAGCAAAGCTGATTTTTAAAAAGCTCTATATGACACTCTAAAACAAAGTTATGTTTCTCTTTGTAACCTGCTCCTTCAAGTGAGCTTAAATAGGACTTTTGCTCCATTTATATGAAAAATTATAAATTAGGAGTATTTAGAAGTTTCATATGTCTTTTCCTAGCACACATTGAAAATGACTGATGAATTATTTGTGTTATCCAATGATGACTGGAAAAGTTATGGGACACACCTAAAATTTCGTCCAGGGATTGAGGAAGTAATAAACTATACAGAACAGCAGGGGAAAGAATAAGCCTATTTTCTACTTATAGCCTATTGAACTTGGTCTGTTTAACAAAACAGCTATGTTTTATTACATTATGATAAAGTAATCTTACGACAATCCCTACTTTTTAGGACTTTTTGGGTCCTTTATTAATGGCCCAATATACCCCAATATAGTAGACATTTATCCTTTTTTTGACTGCTTATTATTGAACTCCCTTTCTGATGGGCATTTATTGTACCTAATACCTGCTTTCCTCACTTCTCTTGTTGCTAGGGCCTAGGCTCAGCCATCAGTGCAGCTGCTTTGGTCAGGGCCTATTGATATAAAGAAGTAGGGGGTCTTGAAAATTCCGCTTCTGGCCATACACTGTGGCAACACTGAGTTTCCAGGGCCAGCAGAGCCAACAGCAGCAGTCAAGGCCAGATGCCAGCTGTGCAGGTGGCACATCCAGGGTTCAATGGAAGGGACTGTGGTGAAAATCCTGGCTGCTGCTTGATCGTTCTTTTGCTTGCCTGTTTTCCAATCCTTGTTGAAATTCTTCCTGACAATGTCAGTGGGGTTGGGGTTGGAGGGGGACAGATGATAAACATAATAAATAAATACTATATTCAAAAGTAAGAAATGCTGTGAAGAAAAATAAGCCCAAGTAAGGAAAATAAGGAGTGCTAAGGGGCTGAGATGGGGTGGTCTGGGCCTCATGGAGAAGTGACGTTGAGCAAAAACCAAAGGAGTTGAGGCAGGGGCCATGTGGATATCTGGGGGCCTGCGGGAGCGAAGGCCCTGACATGGGGTGCCTGGAGGCCTGAAAGAATAGCCAAGACACCAGTGTGATCAGAGTAGAGTGAGTGACGGGGAGAGACATAGGAGATAAGGTTAGAGAGGTGTCAGGGAGCCAGTCATGGTGGGCCTTCTTGGTGATTATAGAGACCTTGACGTTTACTCTCAGTGAAGTGACAGCCATGGAGGATTTTGAGCAAAATCATGCAATGCTCTGCCTTATGTTTTAAAAGCCTCACTCTCAGTGTCTATGGATAACAGGCTGTAGGCAGACTAGGGTAGGAGAGGGAAAACTAGATTAGAGACTATATAATGATATTCCAAGAAAAAGAAGGTAGTCGCCTGGACTTGAGTGGTAGTAATGAAGGTGGTGAGAAGAGATTGGATCTGGATATATATTGAATGAAGAGCCAAGAGGATTTGCTGTCAGGAGTCCAAGTTGAGTCCAAGGTTGAGTCCAAGATGCAGCTGTCATTTACTGAGAGAGGGAGGACTGTGTAGCACGGTTTGGGGGATGACCAGGAGGTCAGCTTTGGACATCAGAAGTTTGAGACAACTCATAGTGCTATGGACGGAATTGTGTCCTACTCCCCCGCCCCTTCATATGTTGAAGCCCTAACTGCCAATGTGATGATATTTAGAGGTGGGGTTTTAAGAAGGTAATTAGGTTTAGAAGAAGTTATGAGGGTGAAGCCCTCATGATGGTTTTAGCGCCCATCTCAAAAGAGCTGCTAGAGAGCTTTTTCTCTCCTTCTCCCCATCACTTTTGGACACAGTGAGAAGGGGGCAGTCTGCAAGCCAAGAAGAGAGCCCTCAACAGAGCCTGACCATTCCAGTGCCCAGAGCTATGACAAATAAATTTCTGTGGCTTAAGCCACTCAGTGCATGTTATTTTGTTACAGCAGCCTGAGCTGAGGCTGAGTTGGATACACTTAGATAACCAAGTAGAGATGTTGAGTTGGCAGTTGAAAACCCAAGCGTGGTTCTAAGGAAAAAGTTTAGGTATGGATGTCATGTAAAGTTGGTAATTGTTAGTAGCTAGATAGTATTAAAGCCATGAGACTAAGGAGGTCATCTAAGTGTGTATAGTGAAAAAGAAAGCATCTGAGGACTGAGACCTGGGACATATCATCAATACAGACAGACCTTAGACATTGCAGGTTTGGTTCCAGACCAGCACAATAAAGCAAATATTGAAATAAAGTGAGTTACACAAATATTCTGGTCTCCCAGTACATATAAAAGTTATGTTTACAGTATACTGTAGTCTAGTAAGTGTGCACTAGAGTATGTCTAAAAAATGTCCTTACCTTAATTAAAATATACTTTATTACCAAAAAATGCTAAGGATCATCTGAGCCTTCAATGAGTTGTAATCTTTTTGCTGGTGGAGGCTTCTGCCTTGATTTTGATGGCTGCTGACTCATGGGGGTGGTGGTTACTGAAGATTGGGGTGGCTGTGGCAATTTCTTAAAATTGGACAGCAATGGGCTGGGCATGTTGGCTCACACCTGTAATCCCAACACTTTGGAAGTCCGAGGCAGGCGGATCACCTGAGGTCAGGAGTTCGAGACCAGCCTGGCCAACATGGTGAAACCGTGTCTCTACTAAAAATACAAAAAGTAACTGGGCATTGTGGCATGCACCTGCAATTCTAGTTACTCGGGAGGCTGAGGCAGGAGAATCGCTTGAACCCAGGAGGTGGAGGTTACAGTGAGCTGAGATCATGCCACTGCACTTCAGCTTGGGTGACAGAGTGAGACTCTGTCTCAAAAAAAAAAAAAAAAAAAAGAAGTTTGCTGCATCAGTGAATTTTTCCTTCACAAAAGATTTCCCTATAGCATCAATGCCGACAGCATTTTATTTTATTTTATTTTATTTTATTTTATTTTTAGATGGAGTCTCACTCTGTCACCCAGGCTGGAGTGCAATGGCACAATCTCAGCTCACTGCAACCTCCGCCTCCGGGGTTCAAGCGATTCTCCTGTCTCAGCCTCCCGAGTAGCTGGGATTACAGGTGCACACCACCATGTCAGGCTAATTTTTGTACTTTTAATAGAGATGGGGTTTCGCCATGTTGGCCAGGCTGGTCTTGAACTCCTGACCTCAGGTGATCCACCCGCCTCGGCCTCCCAAAGTGCTGGAATTACAGGCATGAGCCACCATGCTCGGCCTCTGATAGCGTTTAATCACAGTTTAACTTCATCCCAAATTTGAGTCAGTCTTCTCAAATCCTGTTGCTGCTTTATCAACTAATTTTATGTACTATTCTAAATCCTTTGTTGTCATTTGAACGATGTTCATAGCACCTTCACCAGGAGTAGATTTCATCTCAAGAAATCACTTTCTTTGCTCATCTGTAAGAAGCAAATCATCTACTCAAGTTTTATCTTGAGGTTACAACAGTTAGTCATATCTTCAGGCTTCACTTCTAATGTAGTTTTCTTTCTATTTCCACCACATATATAGTTACTTCCTCCACTGAATTTTTAAACTCCTCAAAGTCATCCCTGAGGGTGGGAATCAACTTCTTCCAAACTCTTGTCAATGTTGATATTTTCACCTCCTCCCATTAATCATGAGTGTTCTTTTTTTTTTTTTTTTTTTTTTTTTTTTTTTTTTTTTTTTGAGTCAGAGTCTTGCTCTGTCACCCAGGCTGGAGTGCAGGGCTGGAGTGCAGCGGCACGATCTTGGCTCACTGCATGCACCGCCTCCCGGGTTCACGCCATTCTCCTGCCTCAGCCTCCTGTGTAGCTGAGACTACAGGAGCCCACCACCATGCCTGGCAAATTTTTTGTATTTTTGGTAGAGATGGGGTTTCATCGTGTTAGCCAGGAGGGTCTCCATCTCCTGACCTCATGATCCACCTGCCTCGGCCTCCCAAAGTGTTGGGATTACAGGCGTGAGCCACCGCGCCTGGCCCATGCGTGTTCTTACTGGCATCTAGATGATGAATCCTTTTCAGAAGGTTTCAATTCACTTTGCCCAGATCCATCAGAAGAATCACTATCTATGGCATCTATAGCCTTGTGAAAGATATTTCTTAAATAACAAGAATTGAAATTCAAAATTACTCCTTGATCCATGAGCTGCAGAATGGATGTTGGGTTAGGCATGAAAACAACATTCATTTTCTTGTATATCTCCATCAGAGCTCTTGGGTGACCAGGTGCAGAGTCAAGGAGCAGTAATATTTTGAAAGGAATCTTTTCTTGAGGAGTAGGTCTCAACTGTGAACTTAAAATAGTAAACCATGCTGTAAACAGATATGTTGTTATCTAGGCCTTGTTCTTCCATCTAAAGAGCACAGACAGAATAGATTCAGCATGATTCTCAAGGGCCCTAGGATTTTCAGAATGGCAAATGAGCAGTGGCTTCAACTTAAAGTAACCAGCTGTATTAGCCTCTAATGAAAGAGTCAGCTTGTCCTCTGAAGCTTTGAAGCCAGGCATTGACTTCTCCTCTGTGGCTATGAAAGTGTTAGATGGGATCTTCTTCCAGTATAAGGCTGTTTCATCTGCACTGAAAATCTGTTGTATAGCATTGCCACCTTCATCAATGATCTTAGTTAGACCTTCTGGATAACTCTCTGCAGCTTCCATGTCAGCACCTGCTGTTTCAACTTGCATTTTTATGTTATGGAGATCACTTCTTTCACTCAACTTTATGTGCCAACTTCTGCTAGCTTACAATTTTTCTTCTGTAATTTTCTCCCCTTTCTCAGCCTTCACAGAGTTGAAGAGAGTTAAGGCCTTGTCCTGGGTTAGGCTTTGGCTTAAGGAAATCTTGTGGCTGGTTTGATCTTCTATCCAGACCACTCAAGTGTTCTCCTTATCAGCAATAAGGCTCTTTTACTCCTTATTATTCATGTGTTCACTGGAGTAGCACTTCTCATTTCCCTTCAAGAACTTTTCCTTTGCATTCACAACCTGGCTGTTGGCACAAGAGCTCTAGCTTTTGACTGATGTCAGCTTTCGACATGCCTTCCTCACTAAGCTTGATCATTGCTAGCTTTTGATTTCAAAAGAGAGATGTTCATTCAATTCTTCCTTTCACTTGAACATTTAGAGGTCATTATAGGGTTATTAATTGACCTAACTTCAATATGGTTGTGTCTCAGGGAATAGGGAGGCCTGAAGAGAGGGAGAGAGAGAGGGTGAGTGGAGCAGTCAAAACAGTCACACACAGTCAACACACAAAATTCATCAATTAAGTTTGCCATCTTATATAGGTGCAGTTTGTGGTGTCCCAAAACAATTACAATAAAAACATCAAAAATCACTAATCACAGATCACAATTACAGATATATTAATAATGAAAATATTTGAAATTTTGCTAGAAATGCCATCATGTACCATGGAGACACAAAGTGAGCACATGTTGCTTGAAAAATAGTGCCAATAGACTCGCTAGACACAGGGTTGCCACAAACCTTCAGTTTGTTTTTTTTTAAAAAGCAATATTTGTGAAGTGCAATAAAGTGAAGCATAATGAAATGACATATGTCTGTAGTAACACGTGGAGGACAGAGGAGGGGCCAGAAAAGACTGAGAAGTGACATCCAGCAAGGTGGGGAGCTACTGGAGAGCATGTCTTCCTGGAGGTCAAGGGAAGAAAGTCTTTAGAAAAGGGAATGTTTAGTGGTGTCGAATATGGTTGAGAAGTCATGGAAGATGATGCAAAATTTACCATGATCCTTTGAGGTGTGAAAGTTAAAGTGAGGTCATTGCAGGACAGTTCTCTGGGTCGCCTTGGACCAACGCAATTCCTTCCTCTTTTTGCTTGTAATTCTCAAGCATAACTGTAGAATGTGCTGGGAATGCAATATCCTGAGATAGAGAGGAGGCCAGGAGCAGCCTGGGCCTTGTTCCTATCCCTCCTAGGGAATGTAATATCTTGAGTTAGGGAGGAACTGCCTGGGACAGTCCGGGCTCTGTTCCTCTCTCCCCTGGAAGCAGGATGTCCATCAAAGCTTTGCCCAGTGAGTCCTGTTGCCCCTGAGGTCTATAACCCAGAGTGGGCTGCCTTTCGGGGTCTCTCAGGTTTTATGCAAAGTGGGAAACGTGCAGGCAAGACCCTATCTACCCCATGCAGTTATCTTGAGCCTTGGGGTACCAGCTTACAATGAATCCTAGGTTTCTCTTGTCCCTTGCTGCCTACCTGTAAGTAATAAACTTGTTGCACGTGAGTGTGTTCTGTTTCACCGGACTCGGGTGTTGGTAACACTGCAGTCCAAGATGCAGTGGGAGGAGTGCTTGGACTCCTGTTCCTGGTGGTTGGTGCAGTGATGGTCTCTGCTGCCCTCCATGCAGTGGGAGGCCTCCCTTGGGGCTAATTGTTAGTGAACCTGCCTCCCAGTCATCTCCTTCCCAGTGTTTAGTGTTGCCAGGCTTTCCCCGCAATCTGGCAGGTGCGAATGGCCTGTTATTGTTGTTTTAAACTCCCCTGAGATTTATACAGCTATTTTCCTTGAGATCCTGGGCAGGGATTAAGTAGGAAGATGGTATTTAGGGGCTGAAGGTGGACACTGAAGGTGCCCTCACTGATCTTGACTCTAGGTTTGTCCAGGGTCAGATGGTGGAGGAGGTATGCAGGAGCCTCCTATCTGCTTTAAGTAATTCTGTGTTTCAGGAGGTGAACACCAGAAGGTATTTCAATCTTCTTCACCTGTCTTATCATTAGTGGAGTGTCCTCTCAGATTTAAGCAGAAAGTTTTCTGTCCACCTGAGTCATCTGTATGCCTGCAAGCAATGCTGTGGCTTCATGGTTCCATTAGTGAAAATTTGTAGTTGGGGTGGAGGAGGGTACTATCAATTGCCATTTAAAACTGGAAATGTCATTTAGAAATATTTGAATTTTTTAAAATGTCCAAACCACACCTATCACCTTTGTGTACCTGTTCTTTGTGTTTTAAATATGCATCTCATAGACACACTCCTGCTTACTTAAGTCCTGAGGGTTTTCAACTTTCATTTCAACCTTCACGTGATGGTTAATTGTATGTGTCAGCTTGGCTGGGCCAGATAGTTGGTTCTACATTATTCTGGGTGTTTCTGTAAGGTCAGGGGTGGGGTTTGGATGAGATGAACATTTAACTTAGTAAAATGAGTAAAGCAGATTGTCCTCCATAATGGGCTGGACTTCATCCCATCAGTTGAAGGCTAGAATCAAAGGCCTGAAACAAAGGCTGATCCAAGTAAGAGAAAAGTCTCCTGCCTAAGGGCCTTCAAAATAGGACAGGACATTGGCTTTGCAGATTTTAGACCTGCTAGTCTCCATAATTCCATGAGAAAATTTCTCACAATAACTCAGTCTGTCTTTCTCTCTCTCTCTCATTAGATAGATATATGATAGATTAGATAGATAGATAGATAGATAGATAGATAGATAGATAGATGATAGATAGATCGATAGATCGATAGATGATAGATATAGATTAGATATTTCTCCTTGTTTCTGTTTCTCTGGGGAACCCTGACAAATACAATGGGGAAAAACAGAAAAGACCCAGAAATTTGGCCAACAAGGCACTGTCACGTGGCATAGGTGTTGCAGGGCCCCTCAACCCACCCGGCTGATGTGCCTGGCACAGGTGGGCATACACCTTGGCCCCTCTCTGCTTCCATTTTCCTATCCCATTAAAGAGTGGTTGGACTGGATGGTCCCTGCAGACTCTTTTAATTCTAATGTTCCAGGTTCCTTGAGATGCTGAGTTACTGAGAAGTGAACACAGCCAAGCCTCTACACAATTTCCACCTTCTGAATTGGCATGGGGAATGTCCACTCCAGCACCCCCACCAAAAAAGAGGTTAACAGCAGATGTTGGCAAGGATGTGGGGAAATAGGCAGGAGAAGGCTTCTAAACAGAGGGAACAGCATGATCAAAGGCACAGGGGTGGGAAATTGCTCACTGGATTCAGGGAAAGGAGTGGCCTAGGGGTGGCGGGATCACTAGGTGTGTAGAGGGAGGAATTTTGAGGTACGCACAGCCCTTTGTGGTTTCCAAGGCCCTTTCACGCTCTTCTCATAACCACAGCATGAGATCAATATTTTTTAATGCTTATTTTACAGAAAAAGAAACTGAGGCTCAGAGAGCAGAAGCTACTTTTCTAGGGTCATATGGCTGGGAATCAGCAGGGCTGAGATTTGAACCCAAATCTATCTGTGCTTTTCCTGATACCACAGAGCTTTAGAGGCTGTATGACTGACCATACCTAGAAACCTATTTTGCATTTTCCTAATGACAAAGGCATGTGCTATTTGTTAGACTAGCCATACAGTTGTTCTGATTCCACTGTCAAAGTGGGGGAGAAACAAATCCATCATCACTTCATCCAAGGCATTTTTATTTTTATTCCCTCTTCTGCCAGCCCCCTGGGGAGCCTGGCAAGGGAGGCATATTTTGATTCTAACTGTGCTGTGTACATCCGTGCCCGCCTGCATGTGCACAAGGTGAAGGAGAGAGTATAACTTTATTCTCGCTTGGGGGCAACTGGTTATGTCTGGAAACATTCGAACATCCCATAAAGCTCATTTCTTTTGCAAATGAGTCAGATAACACAGAATACTTCAAAGTGGAATTCCGCTGGGCTTTCCATCTGGCTGGCCTCTGGGGGAATGCGTGGTGCACTGCCTTTGTTAATCAGGTTCTGGGAGTTTGAATTTTATGCTGAAATACAAATAACTGTGCGTTTGTGGGGAACAAAGCCAAGATATGATCTCAACTGCATTTGGACCGAAATTCCCATCTCCTGCTAAATGCTCTCTACCTTCCACATGGAGAGCAACAAACCCTTTCTTGCTCCAAGCAGCTGTGCTCTTTTATCCCCTGCATCTAGGAAGGCAGGCGTGGTTGAGGCATGGCTGCTCACCCTGTGGCTGATTGCTGTTGTCTGTGTGAGCCTCGCTTTCCTGTTTGCATGCACTCCTATAGGCCCCCACAGTCTTCAGAGTCCAGTTCCCTGGACAGTCCTGTGAACTGGATTGCTCCAGTCCACCCTCCTTCTGGTTGGAGAGGCTGGGCAGCTTAAGATGACATTTCCCAGATGCCCTGTGGTGAGAATCATGGATGGGAAGTAAGTACCATCCATTGGGTACACTCGTATGAGTTTTGCAAATCAGAAGTGCAGAAGCCCCACTTTCCTGACCCCTGCTTGCTGTTCTTCCAGCAAGCAAGGCCACAGAAACACAGTTTCCCTGCAGCAGGGTTCCCTGTCCATTTTCCAGCTTGCTGGTACCCAGAGCCTTTTGCAGCAGCAGCTGCAACAGTGGAAGTTTTAGCTTTTGTATTCAAGCAGAGCCCCAGTGGGTTCTCAGAGGCATTAGCAACCCCAGTGGTCAGTTTTGTGCAGTCCTGAGAGTTCTTCCTGGAGCCAAGTCCTTTAACCCTCCCAATGACTGGGTAAGCACCCATGCCCTGGTTAAATCCTTTCCTGCCTAAGGAGCCAGTGGGATTTGTGTTCCCTGCGTTGAATCTGCTTGATACACCCCTAGCCTGGCTTTGATAAGAAATTCAGTCTCTTCCTAAATACAGTCATCTCTCTGAATCCAAAGAATGGTTGTGTCTATACTGAACACATACAGACTTTTTTTTATACAGTCATAATTCCCTAAACAATACCGTATAACAACTATTTACATCTCATTTACATTGTATTAGGTTTTTAAAATAATCTAGAGAAGATTTAAAGTATAGGGGAGGATGTGTACAGGTTATATGCAAATACTACGCCTTTTGATATCAGGGGCTTGAGTGTCTGTGAATTTTGGGATTTGTGAGCAGGTCCTGGAACCAATCCCCCAGAGAGCCAGGGAGAGCTGTGCTGCTTAGGATTTTTGCATCTGGGGTGGAGGTGGGGAATTTACATGTCATTGTCTGCTATCTCTTGTTCCAAAATTCCATAGTAGCTTCCACTCTGCCACCTTTGGTTGCCTCTTCACTATGTGTGTTAGTCAGGCTTCTCCTGAGAAACAGAGTCAGTGTGCGTGTGTGTGTGTGTGTGTGTGTGTGTGTGTGTGTGTGTAGAGGGAGAGAGATCTATTTTAAGGAACTGACTCACTCAAGTGTGTCCCCTCCCTCCCAGCTCCAGCTTGGGTGCTGCCCCTGCCTAGCTGAGGCCTCCACGCCGTGGCTCACCACATAGAGACACAGGTTTCTCCGTGTCTCCGGATCCATGGGATTTCCTTGATCGGCTCTGCCCCTGTGGATTCCTGGTGAGTCATGGCATCCTCTTTGCCTCCATTGCTCCCAATTATACAACAGAATGGTGGGTGCAGCCAGGCTCCTACCAGGACCCTGGGGCTTTTCAGGGGACCCTGCACCTGGGACCCTCCAGAAGCTTGGATTCCAGAGACCAGCTTCAAAATGAGACTCATGCCCACCAGAAGCTTTCCTCACATGGCCAGCCTGGGCTCCCACGGCAGGTTCTGGAGCCCTCTGATACATCCCTGTCTTCCTCTTCTGCTCAATGGCACCGACAGGGCAAATATGAGAGTCCCTGGCTCCTGTGAGCAGCCTTAGCTTCTGGGAGACTCCAGCAGCCCCCTCCAGAGTGGCTCAGCCAGCAGCCTCTGCTCAGTTCCCTTCAGGACAGCTCCTGGCAGCTCCCCTCGGCTTCCATTGGCTGAGGTTTCTTCCTCCTTTGCAGTGCTGGGCAGGACTCTGGGCTGCTCACCACCCCTGGGAAAGGAGCAAGGGAGTGGCCAAGCTGTCTGTGGGATGCGGCTTCAGGAGAGGGCCCACCACGAGAGAGCCAGAGTCACAGCCGGCGGCTCCATCAGAGGGCTGGACCCCTAGAGTGGGCTGGGCAGAGGGCTGCTCTCCTGCCTGCTCGTGATGTCTCTCAGTTCTGCACTCATTCTATTCCTCGTGCATCTTTGCATTCTGGTCTCAACAGCTCTCACGGTAGCATGTTGACTTCCCTGCTGACGCTATTGGTGGGTGTACAAAGGGCAGCCTGGCCTCATACCACCCACTGCACTTTGCTCAGCACTGTCAACACGGACACTCAGAGAGTAAGAAGGACCCTGCTTCTGCCCACAGCACCTTGGGGGCTTTCTCCAGGAGTCCCCTCCCTGTCGCTTCTATCCTGAGTCAGTCTTGGGGTTACCAGGGAGCAGGAAGCACACAGCACAAGGACAGAATGAGTGAAGCAGATGAAAGCCACTTGTGTAGCACCTGGCATCATCATAGGTGCTCAGCACTGAACCAGCAGGGGCTGGGAGGCAGAGAGAGAACCACACCACACACCCAGCTCCCCGCCTCCCAGGTCACGGCTCCGTTTTCTGTTGGGCCCTGTGTGCCTCACTAATGTCAGCATTTGCCAAACGGTGAACTGCAGAAATCACGTCAAATGTACATCTGACCCTAGATACGTGGCATCCCCCTACCCATGGCAAGCATCTTCTTGGTCTATTTCTTGGCTCAAGGAGTCTCTTTATGCCTTAGCACCTCCTTAATGGCCCAAGGTTCTAGACTTCTGCAGACAGCATGGCACTGCCTCCCCTTCATCAGCTCTGTGCTACTTCCAGCCCTGGCCTGCCTTGAGGCTTGAAGAGGAAACCCTGGGAGGCCCCATGGTGGAAAACGGAGAGGAATGGGCCAGGCCGAACCCTGGGCTTCTACCTCACTTTGCTCTGCCCAGCTGTGGGAACCCAGGAAGGTCACAGCTCAAGCATCAGTGTCCCATCTGCCACCGGAGAGGTTATGGGTCTCAAATGCCAGCCTCTGAGGCATTTGGTCCCCTCACCTCCTGGACACAAATAGAAAACTCACTGAGTCCTGCTTGCATTTACACACCGAGCTGGTCTTGTGATGTCTCCCCTTAGCATGGCTTTGTTCAATGTCCCTCTGCTTGTCACAGTGCCACTTATTATGCTCTGTCTAGACTGCCTAACAAGGCCGGGTGCAGTGGCTCACACCTGTAATCTCAGCACTCTGAGAGGCTGAGGCAGGCAGATCACTGGAGGTCAGGAGTTTGAGACCAGCCTTGCCAACCTGGTGAAACCCCATCTCTATGAAAAATACAAAAAATAGCTGGGCGTGGTGGCGCATGCCTGTAATGCCAGCTACTTGGGAGGCTGAGGCAGGAGAATCACTTGAACCCGGGAGGCAGAGGCTGCAGTGAGCCGAGATTGTGCCACTGCATGAGAGAGTGACAGTGTTGCAACAGTGAGAGAGACTCTGTTGCAAAAAAAAAAAATTTTAATAAAAATAAAAAACTGCCTCACAAAACTGAATGCCCAGGACGGGGAAGGTGTTGCTGAGCAGACGCCCTGTGGAAAGGCCAAGGGTGTTACTCAGCCATGGACACAGTGAAAGTGGGTGCCACCCACAACCATTCCCAAAGCTTGGCTCTATAAATCCTGGACCCCTGAGCCATCAATTTGAACACCCATGTATTTATGCCAAAGCATCCTTCCCTTTTCCAGCTGAGCTACAATACGAATTCAAGACTCCTGGCCATCTCCATATACCCTCTGCTTCAGAGACATTATTAAGCTACTTATAATTAGGAATAATAACGCCTGCAGATGCATTTTAATACAACCCACAAAAGGAGCTGTGTGGGTTTCTTCGTTCCCCAGCACGAAAGCAAACAACTCTTCCCCTGTTGTCTAGATCCAACTGCTTCACTTTCCAACAGCTGCTCTGACAGATGAGGGACAGGCAGAAGGTCAGAGTGAGCTGACCGACTTCCAGGCACAAAGGACAAAAGGATCTGAAATGTGGAGGGACTCATTGGAGGTCCCCGGCAGCTGGCTGAATTGTCTGGCTCTACACAGTGGGGAAACCGTGAGAAAGAGGGAGATGTCTCCTTTCAAACCTGGGCACTGGAACTTTCCTGGCTCTGACATCATCTTTTTTCTTCTTCTTTTTTAGTTTTATTTTACTTTAAGTTCTGGGATACATGTGCTGAATGTGCAGGTTTGTTACATAGGTATACATGTGCCATGGTGGTTTGCTGCACCCATCAAGCCATCATCTAGGTTTTAAGCCCCATATGCATTAGGTATTTGTCCTAATGCTCTCCCTCCCCTTGCTCTCTAACCCCCAACAGACCCCGATGTGTGATGTTCCCCTCCCGGTATCCATGTGTTCTCGTTGTTCAACTCCCACTTATGAGTGAGAACATGTGGTGTTTGGTTTTCTGTTCCTGTGTTAGTTTGCTGAGGATGATGGTTTCCAGCTTCATCCATGTCCCTGCAAAGGACCTGAACTCATTCTTTTTTATGGCTGCATAGTATTCCATGGTATATATGTGCCACATTTTCTTTATCCAGGATTATAAATCATTCTACTATAAAGACACATGCATACATATGTTTATTGCAGCACTTTTTGCTTTTTTACAATCAGCCTGCCAGAGGCTGGTCCACAGATTGTGGAAGCAGAAAGTGACCTTCCTCTCATCTGGTCCAACTCCCTCATTTTGGAAACTGAGGCTTGGAATGAGGAAGAGATTTGGCTTCAAATGTCAGTAGCCAAAGACTGGGCCCAAGGTAATTGAAATATAAATAATGCAATGATCATCTGCCCTCCCAGCATTCCCTCACGACAGCACCCAACTCTAGCTTTTGATGAAGGAGCCAAGACCCAGAGAGGTGGCATCATTTACCCCAATGGCATCGTATGACCAGCACAATGAAGGAAACCAAAGGGGTATTGTGACTTTTCCTCCCTCTTTCCCCTCCTTCTTTTGTTCTCTCCCTTCCCTTTCCTTCCCTTCCCATCTCTTCCTTCCTTCTCCATTTTCCTTCCCTCCCTCCAAACTTGTCTTTCTCTCTTCCTTTCTTTCTCTTCTCCTTCCTTCTTTCCTTTCTCCCTTTATTAAAAAAAAAAAAAGGTGTTCTTTTTCCATCCCACAGATTGGATGAAAAAAAAAGTTTAATGCATTTCAAAAATATTCATGCTCAAGGATCGTTCAAGACATCTGGACCTTTTAAAAAGTTGTTACAATTTTAATAAATAGGATGTATTTTAAAATATGTGAAAAAGACATTCCATTTAGTTAAGATCAGAAACTCGTTAAATTGCCTTTAAGATCATTTCTCTATTATATTTTTAACCAAGGTAAATTTCTAAGGGTTTTCGTTATATTATTTCCATATCGTTCTCCATAATCACATACATTTGATGCTTTCTAAAGCCTTCATAAATATCACTGAAAATATTTGTCCCTTTTTGTATTCTAAGTATAGCCCACATTCAGCAGACTTGTAGCAAACACACATTTAGGCAAGAGGATGAGGAGTGAGGAAACTAGATCCTGATGTCAGACAACTGAGCTGAAACTGGATTCCGGGACTGAGTGTGTGCCAGACCTCATCCAGGTGTGCAAATATGGAGGTATGCCTGGTCGCCACTCCAAGAGGCTTGCAAACTAAAGGCTCTAGGGACACGTGAATAAAAGGAGGAAGCAAGTATCCCAGGTGCTGTGAATCTCTCGAGAAGGGTAAGGGGCTGCTGAGGCAGGTCAGTTCCACTGGCGGCAGCCGGAGTGCAGCCAGAAGGAAACGCTCAGAGGTCCATGCAGGAGTTTTGCCAGAACCTTAAAACAAGTAGGCATCGGAAAAGGGCAGTGCAGGCAGCAGGAGCCACACAGTGGAAGGCTTAGTGGTATTGAAGAGCGTCCTGTGTCTAGGAGATAGCATGTGTCTCCCGTACAGGACTGGAGCCTAAGATACAGGCACAGGGAAAGGGATGAAGCATGGGGAGACTGAAACACTGATATTACGCACCTGAGCTGACACTCGATGCCAGCACTCAGATTCCCTGGCCATTCTGTTTTTTTAGCGAATCAAAATGTCCTGATCAATGTGCACCCTATTTCCCTGTGATCTGCACCCCCAGGGGCCTCCAAGGAGCAGATGGTGAGGATGGGTCAGTACTAAACCCCCGCCTGACCTGGCAGGTCCAGTGCCAACCACCAGGCTGCCAGTCAACGAGCAGGTCCCTACTCCTCTCTGGACTTCCGTGACCCCATCGGAATAGTGTAAGGCTCTTTTCAAAACCTGTCAGCTCTGACAGTCTCAGCTCCAGGATTCAAAAGTCAATGCAGGCCAGGCGCTGTGGCTCACACCTGTAATCCTAGCACTTTGGGAGGCTGAGGTGGGCAGATCACTTGAGAAAAGGAGGTTGAGACCAGCCTGGGCAACATGGCAAGACCTTGTCTCTATTAAATTAAAGATTAAAATAGAGTTTACAAATTAAAAAATGTCAACACAAAGTAAACTTTATACTTTGTGAGCTGAGCAGGTGGCCAGCTTGCCGCCCAGCTGCTCAGCCTGGCACCAATGGCTTGTCCTGCACCAGTGCTTGGCATGGGGTCAGGAGGACAGTTTGGGAAGAGTCTCCAGCAGACCGGCGTGCCTGGTCTCACAGATGACTTCCCAACCCCGTGCCAATGGGAAACCAACAGAGGCAAGTGGCCAGGGTGGAGAGCCTGGGAGGCAGAGCAGGTGGCCCTGGCACAGCAGGTCTGGGTAAGTCATGTCTGGGCATTGTTCTGGGGGCTGTCGGGCTGCTGGAGCAAGGGAAGGGAACACAGGCATGAATGTGTTCAGTGCACAATGGGAGAGGGTCTGGTAGGGGCAGGGGCACTGGATCAGGCCAGCTTTGCAAAGCAAGATTGCTGCCTGCAGACTGGACAAGGGACAGGCAAGGCCATAGCCAGTGCCCAGGTTCCCCGCCCTGCAATGTGGCTGCAGGAAGGATGGTCCACCAGGCAGGAGGAAAGGGGCTGAGGGACAGAAATTTACCTGTCAGAGGATAAGGAGGCAGGGGGCAGTGAAGATGGTAAGCTGATGGAAAGGGAGGTCATATCCAAGTTCTGTCATTGACTCCCTGAGTGACCCTGAACATGTCCTCCTCCTCTCTGACCCTCAGTTTCCTTGGAAACATAATGGGGATAATTGTTACTGGTTCTGCCTTACCCACAGGAATCTTGTGAAAAGACAAAATAATGAGCCAGATAATGGATGTTCCAGGGCTTGTAAATGGTCAAGGCTGGGCTAAGCCCCTGCCGCACTTGGCCTCATGGAATCCCAGCCTGTAGTCAATTCACAATTTCTCTGTGGCAGGATTGAGTGGCGACAATAGGTTGTGGAGGACTGTGTGTGGCTGTGGCCTATCTTGAAGCGGTATTTCCATGCCACTCATCAGGAAAAATTGGGAAAGACTTTAAAATGGGCAAAACATGATCACTAGATGTTCTTCTAAAGCATCCTTTTGGGTTATCTGCTCCTTTAACTGTTTTCAAGCTATCTTACAATTTTATATGTTGTAGACAACTGATAGCAATGCAAATAATTCCAGTCCATAGAAGTACAAATGAATTGGCCGTGTGCGGTGGCTCACGCCTGTAATCCCAGCACTTTGGGAGGCTAAGGCGGGCGGATCACAAGGGCAGGAGTTTGAGACCAGCCTGGCCAATATGGTGAAAGCCCATCTCTACTAAAAATACAAAAAAATTAGCCGGGCGTGGCGGCAGGGGCCTATAGCCCCAGCTACGTGGGAGGCTGAGGCAGGAGAATCGCTTGAACCCGGGAGGCAGAGGTTGCAGTGAGCCGAGATTGTGCCACTGCGCTCCAGCCTAGGCAACAGAGTAAGACTCCGTCTTTAAAAAAAAAAAAAAAAAGCACAAATGAATTTTACCCACTGGAGATGCAATTGCTTATTGCTCTGGGGATGTTGATGACATTTGTATCTATTTCAACATTCTTGATTGCCTACTTGTGCAGTTCTGTGAATTCTCCTTTGAGTGAGTTGTAACAGCGGATGGATCCCCTCATTTACTGAGTTAAATGAAGTGTTTGATACATGTTCTTTTTATATTTGAATCATTGTATTCATTTTCTATTGCTGCATAACCAATGACCATACATTTATCAGCCTAAAACAATACCCATTTGCTTGTTTGCGGTTCTGTAGGTCAGAAGCCTGAGCATGGGATGACCGTGTCCTCTGCTCGGGTCTGCTGAACTCAAGGTGTCAGCCAGGCTGCACTCCATTCTGGAGTCTCTGAGGGAAGAATCCACTTCTGAGTTCATTCAGCTTGTTGGCCAAATCCACCTCTTTGAGGCTGGAGGGTTGTAGAGCATTTCCTTTTCTCTAAGGCCCACAAAGCAACCTCTATTCATTCCTTAACACCCAACTCAAATATCAGGTCTTTGGGGAACCTTCCTTCAGCAGCAGCACAGCACAGCAGTGGGAAGAAAATGGGCTTTGAAGTTCATTGGAATTTTGCTTCTGCCATTTTCAAGCTGAGTGGCCTTGGGCAAATTATATAAGCTCTCTGAGCCTTTGTTTCCTCATCTGTAAACCAAGTACAATGCAGTCTTCGATAGTAAGTGCATCTGACTGACTGATAAGCAGAATAATAATAAAAGCAGTGACCACATATGGTATGCTTGCCATGTGCTGGACACTAAGCATGGCTAAGTGCTTTATATGCCTTTTTCACTTAATCTGCCTACCAACCCAATAAAGGAAATTCTATTATTACTCCATTTTGCTGATGAGAAAACTGAGGTTTAAATAAGTTGAACCCAGTCTTACCTGTCGCCAAATCCTGTGCCCTTGGTCATGATGACATATTCCTTCCTAAAAGGTACTCAAGAAATTGACATCCCCTTTCCCTCTCTCTTCCCCTCCATGCCCACCTCTGGACCATCAGAATTGCTTTTTCTTTCCATGTGTCCCCATAACCCTGTATACCCCAAGGCCTCTCTAATACCATGTAAGACACAGTATCAGATTTTTTTCATGTGTTTCTCTTTCCCCAAGCCTCCAGCATTGGGTCTGGCATAGGGCAGGGATAGAGTACCATAATTCAAGTGAACTCATGAATTATCTTCAGTCCTTTTAGGAAGTGACCAGGGTATAATTTATATAATAAAATGATTATTAACCTACATAAATAAAAGAGAGAAAACTGTCCCTTCCACTCCATTCCCTTTCCCTCGTGTGCTCTCAGCTGAGGCGATAGGCCCCAGAGGAATTCAGCAGCAGACAGATAAAAACATCAAGGCCTGTTCCAGCTTCACACCAGATCCTGGAATTTAATTTAACTTATACAGACGTCGGTGTTGATGCTCTTGGGGGCTCCCAGCGCAGCCTCACAGAACAGCTGGTAACAACTGTGATGGGTTTGCCTTCACACCTCAGATGGAATCACAGGGGAATTCCACAAAGGCAGGGCCCTGGAAATCATTTCACAGGAAGAGTCTCGTACGCTCCAAGGACCTCAGTTTCAGGACGAACTGCCGAGATCATGCAGTGAACCCGCTTTGTTTTTAAAACAGCCAAAATGAGGCCCAGGGATTTCCCCAACATCACATGCCTTCCAAGTTTCGATGAGCAGCATTAAGAATGTAAACAACAGCAGCATATTACAGCTTGAGGTGTGCAGTTCTCGTACTTAAGAGCCTGTCTTTCCTTTTCCCCATGTGTTCTGCAATCAGTGTAGACTGTCACCAGCAAAGAGCAGACACAGGGTAGTTAAAGTGGCCCCAGTCACCGGGCATGTGTTTTACATGAGATCCAGATTACCATCTGAACTCCCCACTTTGTTATTTTTATATTAAATTCTGACTTTTTATATTAAACTGTGACTATTTTTATATTAAACTATGACTCTTCCGTATTAAACTCTGATTCTGAAAGCAGATAATTCAGGGACAAAAACAGCTTTTAAAGTGAAACCAATATAGAACACATTTCTTGTGATCTTTTTAATAATTTTCTATTGCCAGCTGAATTTAACCGTGATCTTACTCCATATATCGATTGAAATTACAGTTTTAATTCACCATGCATTTTGTTTTGTATGCCAAAGCACCTTGGAGCTTTTCCCTCAACTTCAATCTTGGAATTACATTTTCTATGTTTGCTTATTTTACAGCACACTGAACTCTGTCGATTCAATAAAATTTAAACATGTGCTTATTTACGGAGCACTTATCATAGCCAGGGCTCTAGGGTGAGTGATTTCTTGAGAAAGATCTACAGATGTGAGTAAGAGGCAGCCTATGCCCCCAAGTAACTCATGATTAACTAGAGAGTAAAATCATTAACTGGTAGTTAAAAAACAAGGTGGTAAAGTAAAAATAAATCTGGAAATAATAAATGACAAGGTTTAACTACATAAATATTTGAAATGTCTGTAAGGCAAAAGACATTACAAATA
The DNA here is from genome assembly GCF_000001405.40 of Homo sapiens. Taxonomy (NCBI): domain Eukaryota; kingdom Metazoa; phylum Chordata; class Mammalia; order Primates; family Hominidae; genus Homo; species Homo sapiens. Next base: position 38,320,129 of record NC_000009.12, read on the forward strand.
AAACTAAAGTACAAATGACAAATTGAGGGAAAACATTTTCAACATTTATTACATACAAAAGGTTAATAGTGTTCATGTATAAAGAGCTTTCTATGACTCAATAAAAAAAAAAACAACCTAATAGTAAATGTGCAGGAGACTTGGACTAGAAATTCACTTAAAAGAAAGACAGTGCTCAAAGAAGTACAGATTAAAATGACAAAAGTAAGCCGGGCGCAGTGGCTCACACCTGTAATCCCAACACTTTGGGAGGCCGAGGCAGGTGGATCATTTGAGGTCAGCAGTTTAAGACCAGCCTGGCAAACATGATGAAATCTCATTTCTACTAAAAATATATTTAAAATTAGCTAGGCGTGGTGGTGGGCATCTGTAATCCCAGCTACTTGGGAGGCTGAGGCAGGAGAATCACTTGAACCTGGGAGGTGGAGGTTGCAGTGAGCCACTGCAGCCTGGGCAACAGAGTGACTCCATCTCAAAAATAAAAAATAAAAATAAATAAATAAATGACAAAAATATATTTTTACCTATCAGATTGGCAAAACACTTTTATATATTGATAAAGCTTAATGTTGGTAAGATGGTAGGGAAATGTATACCCAGTCGGGGAGTGGGTAAATTAGGAGAAAGTTTTAAAGGCAATTTGGCAGAATCCATCAAAGATTACAATGTGAATCTCCACTGACCCAGGCATTTCAGTTCTAGTAATTTATTCTGCAGATTTCTTCATTCAACTGCACAAAGATACATGTCCAAGTTTGTTCACTGCAGCTGTTTGTACAAGTGGGAAATTTGAATATTTTATATACATATATATAATTTGAGACTTTTATATATATATATAACTTGAAACATATAGATTCATAAAATGAATTAAGATATAGGCATAAAATGTAATATTATAAACATGTCAGAAATTGATATGAAAAATATAAAAATATATTCAGTGAAAAAAAGCAAGGACTGGCTTTTCATATAATATATTCACAATTGTGCAGAAGAATCAAAACATAAGTATACATATACCTATAAATGCCTATACATTTAAAAGTTCTGAAAGGACCTATCACTACCCTATTATAGTGATTGTCTTTGAGGAACTGGGATCTGAAATGGCTTTCAACATTTATTATACACACTCTTTCTGTCTGAATTATTTGTAACTAGAAAAATTTAAAAGAATATGATCTAACTCCTTTTGCTGATTCCTGTCCCCCAAGCCCCTTCCCAAGTGCCATGTAGCTTGCCATGTCAATTTGCCATGCAGAGACCTGTGAACATCGGACTCTGGTCCACGTGAAGACTCCCAGTTCTCTAGCTTGGGTGATGAATGGATTTTGACAGCTTCATGCAGATTAGGGGAACACAGGAAGAAGAGTAGATGTGCGGAGGAGGAGGTGGGGATGAGGTTATACATGTGGGGGGCGCCTGGAGGCGTGGGGGAAATGGTCAGCAAACAGCTGGTCATACACATCTGAAGTCTAGAAAAAGTCCTTCACTTGTAGGTGATTACTGAGATCAAGACAGGGAGAGATGACACTCAGAGAGGTACATGTGAGAAGAGAAGATGCCCCAGATGGGGCAGTTTAGAGCCACACTGGCCATCTTTCTGTCTCTTCAATTCACCCAACTTGTCCCTGCCTTAGGTTTCTGTATAATTTGAGACTTTATGTATGTCTTATCCACTGTTTCTTTTTTCATTATGTAATGATCACCATTATTCCTAATAATGTGTTTGACACTAACATCAATTTTGTCTAAATATCTATACCACCTTCCTTTTGGTCAATATTTTCCTAGAATACATAGCATAGGACTTTTAATAAAAACATCTATCTGAGAATCTCTGTTCTGTCATCAGAGACTTTGGTCTATTTTCCCAGGCCAAAGGAAAATAGACCATCTTTCTTTTGGTCAGTATTTTCCTAGAATACATAGCATAGGACTTTTTATTAAAATGACCATCTGAGAACCTGTATTCTGTCATCAGAAATTTTGGTTTATTTGCTTATATTGTTACTACCAATATATTTGCATTTATTTCTATCATCTTATTTAATGCTTTATATTTTCACCATGCCTTATTTTTGCCTTCTGTCAGTGTGATCAAATCTTCTTTTATTACATATTTCCTCTCCTCTCATTAAGAGATAAAACATACTGTTTCCATTTGTATTGGTTATCTTTGATTTTTCAATGTGTATATTGCATAATATCAAGTTTATCACTATCTATACCTTCTTCCCAAACAATTCAAGAATGTCAGAACACCTTGGATGTTGGTACACTCCTCCTGTCTCATTGTTATCAGGTATTTTAGGTGCCTAAAGTAAAAGGCACCTAATTTTTTTTATTTATTTTACTTCAAGTTCTGTGATACATGTGCAGAACGTGCAGGTTTGTTACATAGGTATACATGTGCCATGGTGGTTTGCTGCACCCATCAACCCATCATCTAGGTTTTATGCCCCACATGCATTAAGTGTTTATCCTAATGCCCTCCCTCCCCTAGCCCCCCACCCCCGGTGTGTGATGTTCCCCTCCATGTGTCCATGTGTGCTCATTGTTCAACTCCCATTTATGAGTGAAAACATGAGGTGTTTGGTTTTCTGTTCCTGCATTAGTTTGCTGAGAATAATGGTTTCTAGCTTCATCCATGTCCCTGCAAAGGATGTGAACTCATTCTTTTTTATGGCTGCATAGTTTTCCATGTATATGTGCCACATTTTCTTTATCCAGTCTATCATTGATGGGCATTTTGGTTGGTTCCAAGTTTTTGCTAAAGGCACCTTATTTTTATATCCTTCAGATAATAATTAGTACTTTATACATTCAATGCATGTTTAGATTTAATAACATATTTACTATTTCTTTCCTGACATACCTTCTTTCATTCTACTACTCCTTCCTGGTCTTGAATTTCTTTTACCTAAAACATATCCTAGCATAATTCTTGCAGAAAGGGTTGACTGGTGATAAACTCTCTTGGTATTTGTCTGAAAATGACTTTTTCAACCCCTCTTACAGTCCAATTCGTTTTAGAGTTTTGTTTTTGTTTTTAATGAACGAGTGGGTTATAGCAGTCTACGGTTATCTCAAACAAACAAAAGTTCTGGGGGTTCATTACCACTAGCCCTGCCTTATAGTAAGTGCTAAAGAGAATTCAGGTTCAAACAAAAGGATGCTAACTAACAACATGAACATATATAAAAGTATAAAACTCAGTGTAAAGGTAAGAATATACTCAAATTCAGAATACTCTAATACTGTAATAAAGGTGCATAAATAATTTTTAACTGTAGTGTAAAAGTTAAAAGACAAAAGTATTAAAAATAGCTATAGCTATAATAATTTATTAATGGACATACAATACATAAAACATAAATTGTGACATCAATAGCATAAAATTTGGGAGGGAGGAGAATTTAAAGTGTAAAGATTTTGTGAGCAGTCAAAGATAAGTTGTTATAAACTTAAAATAAACTGTTATAACTATAGCAGCTTTATGTAAGCCTCATAATAACCACCAAGGAAAAAAACTAGTAGACACACTAAAGAGAAAGAGAAACAACTCAATAGCACGAAAACAATGCAACTAAAAAATGGACAGAGGACCTGAAACATCTCTCAAAAGAAGACATACAAATGGCCAACAGGTATATGAAAAAATGCTCAAAACTACTAATCATCAGGGAAATGAAAATTAAAACCACAATGAGATATTACCTTGTTCCAGTTAGAAAGCCCATTATAAAAAAGACAAAAAATAAAAAGTGTTGGCACGGATATGGAGAAAAGGAGACCCTTGTATGCTGTTGGTAGGAATGTAAATTAGTACAGCCATTATGAAAAACAGTATGGAGGGTCTCCCTCTCCCTCTCCCTCTCCCTCTCCCTCTCCGTCTCCCTCTCCCCACGGTCTCCCTCTCCCTCTCTTTCCACGGTCTCCCTCTCATGCTGAGCCGCAGCTGGACTGTACTGCTGCCATCTCGGCTCACTGCAACCTCCCTGCCTGATTCTCCTGACTCAGCCTGCCGAGTGCCTGCGATTGCAGGCTCGCGCCGCCACGCCTGACTGGTTTTGGTGGAGACGGGGTTTCGCTGTGTTGGCCAGGCCGGTCTCCAGCCCCTAACCGCAAGTGATCCGCCGGCCTCGGCCTCCAGAGGTGCCGGGATTGCAGGCGGAGTCTCGTTCACTCAGTGCTCGGTGGTGCCCAGGCTGGAGTGCAGTGGCGTGATCTCGGCTTGCTACAACCTCCACCTCCCAGCCGCCTGCCTTTGCCTCCCAAAGTGCGGAGATTACAGCCTCTGCCCGGCCACCACCCCGTCTGGGAAGTGAGGAGCGTCTCTGCCTGGCCGCCCATCGTCTGGGATGTGGGGAGTCCCTCTGCCTGGCTGCCCAGTCTGGGAGGTGAGGAGCGTCTCCGCCCGGCCGCCATCCCATCTAGGAGGTGAGGAGCGCCTCTTCCCGGCCGCCATCACATCTAGGAAGTGAGGAGCGTCTCTGCCCGGCCGCCCATCGTCTGAGATGTGGGGAGCGCCTCTGCCCCGCTGCCCCATCTGGGATGTGAGGAGCACCTCTGCCCGGCCGCGACCCCGTCTGGGAGGTGAGGAGCATCTCTGCCCGGCTGCCCCGTCTGAGAAGTGAGGAGACCCTCTGCCCGGCAACCGCCCCGTCTGAGAAGTGAGGAGCCCCTCCGCCCAGCAGCCGCCCCGTCTGGGAAGTGAGGAGCGTCTCCGCCCGGCAGCCACCCCGTCCGGGAGGGAGGTGGGGGCGTCAGCCCCCCGCCCAGCCAGCCGCCCCGTCCGGGAGGGAGGTGGGGGGGTCAGCGCCCAGCCCGGCCAGCCGCCCAGTCCGGGAAGGAGGTGGGGGGGGCAGCCCCCCGCCCGGCCAGCCGCCCCGTCCGGGAGGGAGGTGGGGGCGTCAGCCCCCCGCCCGGCCAGCCGCCCTTCCAGGAGGGTGGTGGGGGGGTCAGCCCCCCACCCGGCCAGCCGCCCCGTCCGGGAGGTGAGGGGCGCCTCTGCCCAGCCGCCCCTACTGGGAAGTGAGGAGCCCCTCTGCCCGGCCAGCCGCCCCGTCCGGGAGGGAGGTGGGGGGGCAGCCCCCCGCCCGGCCAGCCGCCCCGTCCGGGAGGTGAGGGGCGCCTCTGCCTGGCCGCCCCTACTGGGAAGTGAGGAGCCCCTCTGCCCGGCCAGCCGCCCTGTCCGGGAGGGAGGTGGGGGGGGTCAGCCCCCCGCCCGGCCAGCCGCCCCGTCCAGGAGGTGAGGGGCGCCTCTGCCCGGCCGCCCCTACTGGGAAGTGAGGAGCCCCTCTGCCCGGCCACCACCCCGTCTGGGAGGTGTGCCCAACAGCTCATTGAGAACGGGCCAGGATGACAATGGCGGCTTTGTGGAATAGAAAGGCGGGAAAGGTGGGGAAAAGATTGAGAAATCGGATGGTTGCCGTGTCTGTGTAGAAAGAAGTAGACATGGGAGACTTTTCATTTTGTTCTGTACTAAGAAAACTTCTGCCTTGGGATCCTGTTGATCTGTGACCTTACCCCCAACCCTGTGCTCTCTGAAACATGTGCTGTGTCCACTCAGGGTTAAATGGATTAAGGGCGGTGCAAGACGTGCTTTGTTAAACAGATGCTTGAAGGCAGCATGCTCGTTAAGAGTCATCACCATTCCCTAATCTCAAGTACCCAGGGACACAAACACTGCGGAAGGCCGCAGGGTCCTCTGCCTAGGAAAACCAGAGACCTTTGTTCACTTGTTTATGTGCTGACCTTCCCTCCACTATTGTCCTATGACCCTGCCAAATCCCCCTCTGTGAGAAACACCCAAGAATTATCAATAAAAAATAAATTAATTAAAAAAAAAAACGAAAAAAAAAAAACAGTATGGAGGTTCCTAAAAAAATTAAAAATAGAACCACCACATGACCCAGCAACCCCACTTCTGGGTCTACAGCCAAAGGAAATGAAATCAGTATGCTGAAGAGGCATCTGCACTTTCATGTTCATTGCAGCATTATTCACAATAGCCAAAATATGGAATCAACCTAAGTGTCCATCAATGGATAAAGAAGATGTGGTATATATACACAATAGAATACTATTTAGCCTTTAAAAAGAAAGAAATCCTATCATTTGTGATGACATGGATGGACCTGGTGGGCTTTGTGTTAAGTGAAATAAGCCAGGCACAGAAAGACAAATACCACGTGATCTCACTTACATGGGGCAATCTGCAACAAGTTGAACTCATAGACGCAGAGAGCAGAATAATGGTTACAAGTGTCCAGGGATACGGGTGGGGGAATGCGGAGATGTTGATGAAAACACAGAACATTTCAGTTAGGATGAATAAGTTCAGGAGGTCTATTCTACAGCAGTGTGACTATATTTACTAATAGTGTATTATATACTTGAAAATTGCTAAGACAGTAGTACAAAATAATCTGAATATGAAGTGATAAGTATGTTAATTCACTTGATTTATTCATTTCACAATGTAAAAATATATCAAAATATAACATTGCATGCTGTAAATATATATAATTTGTATTTGTCAATTATATTTTTATAAAGCTGGAGGGGATAAAGCTAGCAACAGCTAAATTAAAAAATAATTCTAGAGTATTTTTCATTGTCTATGGTTTCTATTATTGTTGAGAAGTCATCTTTTTTTTTCTAATATAGAGACAGCGTCTTGCTATGTTGGCCAGGCTGGTCTCAAACTCCTGGCCTCAAGCAATTTTCCCACCTCAGCTTCCCAAAGTCCTGAGATTATAGACGTGAGCCACCATGCCCAGCCTCACTGTCATTTCTAATAAGTCTGTCTCGTTGCTTTGCTTTTGAGATCTTCTCTTTGTCTTGGTCCTCTGTAGTTTCAGTCTGATATGTTTAGGATTAAAAAAAATCCTGTTTGGTACTTGTGCTTATAGAATCTGAAAATTCTTACTTTTCATCAATTTGGGAATATCCTTAGTCATTAGAGATTTCATGCCTCTCATCAATTATCAAATATTCTCAGCCATTCTCCCTTCTAATGGTGCCTCTCCCAATTCCTTTCAGCTCTAACCATACCAAAACCTATTAAATGTATATTGGAGCTCCTTATTCTATCCTCCTAGAATGAGCTACTCATTCCACCTTCTCAACTTCAGTTTCACATTTTCAGTCTCTTTAGTTCACAGTACTGCATTCTGGATAGTAGCCTCAAAGCTATCTTCTACTTCACTAATTCTCTTAGTTGTGTCTAATTGTGTGTCCATTGAGTTTTTAATTCCAATGATTATATTTTAGCATCTAAAAGTTCCACTTGATTCCTTTCTAAATCTGCCTGTTTCTCCCCCATATTGTTTTGTTTTACTTGTCTTCAGCATCCTTTACACTTTTGTTGTTGTTGTTTTGTTTTTTTGAGACAGAGTCTCTGTCACCAAGGCTGCGGTGCAATGGCATGATCTTGGCTCACTGGAACCTTCACTGCCTCCCAGGCTCAAACGATTCTCGTGCCTCAGTCTCCCAAGTAGCTGGGATTATAGGCAAGTGCCGCCATGCCCAGCTAATGTTTGTATTTTTAGTAGAGGCGGTGTTTCACTATATTGGCCAGGCTGGTCTCAAACTCCTGACCTCAAGTGATCTGCCTGCCTCGGCCTCCCAAAATGCTGAGATTACAGGTGTGAGCCACTGTGCGTGGCCTTTACAAATGTTTTTGATTATTATGAAGTATTTATTTTACAGTCTCTATCAGATTTTCAACTATCTGGGGTAGTTGTCTAATTCTGCTTTTTGTTATATTGCCTGATTCTCACTTATTGAAGGTTGTTACTCTTTATTTTTTCTAATTTGCATTATAAGCTCATCTGTGGGCTTTATTTGTGGGAATTAAGGGCACAGGTCAAGACACACAAGTGAATGGATCTTTTATTGTCCACATTTCATTAACAGTTTGGCCCTTTGTGTCCCAGGCTTACTGGGCGGGAAACAAGGAGTTATGGTTCTAACCCTCCATATTGTCTGGGATCCAGACCTTATTTCCTGTGGAACAGTGTGGTCATCTAGCCCAAGGTTAAACTGTCTTAACTCCCCTCATCTTCCAAATTCCCACTAATTTGACCAAAGGAATATAAAGTAGAGAACAATCTCTACCAGGGATGAATACCAACAAAGGGTGGCACTTGCCAGAAATTTGAGACATTTATATGAGACATTGTGCAAGAGGGGAAGGCTAACTGCAGTGGAAATCATTGTAATGAAAACGAATCTCATCTGAGGAGCGAGGGCCCCAAAAGTGTCTCAGTGCTTTCCTCAAACTTAAAGTGGTAAGTTCTGGAGGAGAGAAAGAGTATAGGGAAGGAGAGGAGTTAAAATCTCCATCTACATCCAGACTCTGGAGGTTGACTGGCACTAGGACTTTGCATGGTGGGCCATGGCAGCCCCTCGGCCTGCACTGGGTCTAGGTGTCTCCACAAATAAAGATCATACACCCCTGCAACTAGCCTCTAGTGAGGGCAGCCGTGCAGGTTACAGATGCTTGCATTTGCTTCTGGCTGCTGCAACAAATCAGAAAAGATTTCTGGCCATGTGGCTCCTTTTGACTGTTTCTGTCTAATCCCATATAAATTCTATCTTGGAAAGGTAAAAACACATAAAATCCCATTGTTTTCCTTCTTAGCTCATCTGGAACTGAAAGACTTAACCACACAGTCACACATTCTCTAAATAAACCCATTTCAGCCCCCAATTCTGAACAAAACCTAGCTTTCTCATTTGTTAGGATGAGCAAATAGAGAAAAATTATCAGATATAAAAAGATTTAATGGTTCAAAAGAAAGAGACTATATTTGAGGAACTGAGAGAAAACGGCTGCCTCCAATTAGTCTTATGGCAAGAAATAGGGGGAAATTTTGATAAAACTCTAAGTTGCCTTCTCAGTTACATTCAGGAAAACATTGCACCTATGAAAAGAATTGGTCTGAAATCATACAAGCTTCTTTTCAAATTAAAAACATAACTGATGAATAAAAAGGTAACAGAGTTAGTGAAAGTTAGATTGGACACTGTAAAAAAATCAAATTTGCAAATTAAAACATATGCTTGATATATTCTTCTAGAACCCAGTGAATACAAATAAAGAGAGACTTAAATGACGGGTAAAAAGATCAGACAGGTGGGAAAAAGATCAGGGCTCTATTTTACCCCAATAGAATTTTATAGGTAGTAGAAATGCTGGAAGGAAACTGTGGTAGATTATTAAAATGACCTCCAGTGGGTCATGCCCCGCTGTGTCCACACAATGTAACTCTAACAGTCCTAGCAAGAGACAGAGTCTATCTCCTCATATTTGGGCTGGCCTGTGATTTGCTTTGACCAAGTGAATGCAGAAGTGGCAGTCTTTTGTGACTTCTGAGCTTCCACTTTAATTCTTGGAACCCTGAGAACCATGCCGTGAAGAAGCTCAGTTTAGCCTGCTGGATGATGAGAGGCCATGTGGAAGGCAACCAAGACACCCAGCCAGTAGCCAGCACCAACTGCTGGACATGTGAGTGAGGCCACCTTGTACCCTCTAGCTCGTCAAGCCACCAGACAATTGCAGCTCATACATGATCGATTGAAATTTTTTTAAGAAGATACTTAGGTTTAGAGATAAAAAGTACAGCAGGAGAACATTTCAGATTGCCAATACACAAAATTGTAATCAATAATGAATCCAACGGTTGTTTTAAACCACTAAATTGTGGGAGTGGTCTGTTATACACAATAGATAACAGAAACAAAAGAAGAATCATTAAAGAAATAATCATGTACAGGAATTTCCAGAGTACTCTTTTCCGCCAGTGGAATCAGCTCTAATATGAGCCAGTCCATTACCAGCATGAGGAGCTCAATTCCTAGTCCCTAATTCAAATATTGCCCAGCAATGTTATTGTGATCCCTGGCTATGACAGTGAGGTGAGGGCAGCACTAACCTGTAGCAGCTGGCTTTGGTGGGTCATCTCAGAAACACGGGACACTTGAGTCACACGGCGGCCAGCGGGAATTATCAATTGTCATCTTTGGAATACAGCAACAGCCATGTCCTTGACCCACGCAATAACTGTGCAACACCGCGGGCAGTGAGTCAAGCTGCAATAGCTGGGGCCGGGGACTGACCGCCTTGGTGAGCACCCCAAGGCGTGGAAGGGACTGCGTCCTCTGTTCTGGCTAGTGCCTAGCACTGGACACACATGCCCTTCCACTCCAGTCCTTTCTGTGTTCACCAGCACCAACAACCAGGGGTTGTAATCCAGGGTCAGGAGGGGTTTCAGCAGGTACCCAATTCCTGGTGACCTCCCTGCCCTCAGACACAAAGGCCTGGTGCCCACCCACCCAATGATACATTGTAATTGTCTCAGTGGTCTTGGGAAGAGGCTATTTGCACAAAGAATTTCCCTGCATTCCAAGAGTGATGAAGGTGACTCTGTGCCACTTCTCTTTTAAATTAGAGGAGAAAAAAGAAGTTTAATTTTGACAGTAATACCTGCTACACTAGATAAAAACCTCCCCTAGCTAAAGACTGGCATGTTTAGATTAAAAATGATCATTGACTACCAGGGAAAAGTAATGAAAAGAGACGCGCATCTAGACTGACTTTAGTGATTTTATTTTAATTTCAAGGATAAAGAAAAATGATTATAAATATCCAGATAAGGAAAAAAGAAAAGAAAAGGATTTCTATGAAGGGGTGAGTGGAGTTACGGGCATCAAAGTTTTCCCCCATGGCACTAAATGCTACAATGACACATCTGTGTCAGGAGTCTCCAACACAACCTCCAGGTTTGATGGCTTGCTAGGAGAACTCTCAGGGCCCAGCATGTAGTAGTACATCTATTACATAGCTGTGAGTACTACTGCTCACAGCATTACATAGCTGTGAGTACATTTATTACCGTGAAAAGATACAAATCAAAATCAACAAAAGGAAAAAAGGTGCATGGGGCGAAGTCAAGGGGAAACCAGACACAAGCTCCCAAGAGACCTCTCCCAGGGGAGTTGCACAGGGCACCCTTAATTCCAACAGCAAACGAATAATGGCAACATGCGTGAAATGCTGTCTACCAGGATGCTCACTAGAGATTCAGTGCCTGAAGTACTACTGGGGTCTGGTCGCTAAGGCACCCTCTGGCTGGCACACACGAAAATTTCAGAATCCCAGAAGAAAAACAGGTGTTCGGCATAAAGCATATTGTTTGTACAGCTTAAGCACAGTGAGCTGCTCCGATCCATTCGGAGAATGATGGAACCCTCCCGAAATCCAAGTTCCCAGACACCAGCCAAGGGCCAACCTTGACAGCAGGTTTTTCTGAGGATATAGCCTCAGGCCTGCTGTGTTAGCCCTTTCCAGCACAACAATGAAACAACATTTGCAGATTTTTAGTTTAAAAGAGTATGACCCAATAACCCTTTATAAAGTCAGCTGAATTATTTATTGTTCATAGGGGACAGCAATAGGGAGACATTCTCAGATATCCAGAGCCTCAGAAAGTGTAACTCTTCATAGCCTTGAAAAAAAAAAACAAATTACTGGAATATTCATTTTCCATTGTTGCTGTAACGAATCGCCACAAACTTAGTGGCTTAAAACAACACAGATGTATCACCTTCTAGTTCTATAGGTCAGAAGTCTGACATGGGTCTCTCACTAGGCTAAAGTCAAGGTGTCAGCAGGGCTGGTTACTTTCTGGAGGCTCGAGGGGAGAGTCTATTTCCTGGCCTTTACTAGCTTGTGAAGGCTGTCTGCTCCTTCACTCATGGCGCCTTCCTCCATCACCAACGGTGGCAATGGCAGGGCAAGTCCTTCTCATGCTGCCCCCTCTCTGACTTGCTTCTATAATTACGTCTCTTTCTGTGGTCACAGCCAGGAGCCTCTCTACTTTGATGTGATTTATGCAATTAGATTGAACCCACCTGGATAATCCAGGGTACTCTTACTATCTTAACATCCTTAACCTTAGTAACATCTGCAAAACCCCTTTTACCATGTAACATATTCTCAGGGTCCAAGGATTCAAATGTAGACATCTTTTGGGGGCTATCATTCTGTCTACTTCACTATATTAGTCTGTTCTCACACTGCTATAAAGAAATACCTGAGACTGGGTAATTTATAAAGAAAAGAGGTTTAATTGGCTCAGAGTTCTGCAGGCTGTACAGGAAGCATGGCTGGGGAGGCCTCAGGAAACTTACAATCATGGTGGAAAGCAAAGAGGAAGCAAGCATGTCTTACATGGCTGGGACAGAAGCAAGAGAGAGAAGGGTGGGGGAGCTACACGCTTTTAAACAACCAGATCTTGTGAGAACTAACTCACTATCAGGAGAACAATAAGGGGGGAAATCCACCCCCTTGATCCAATCGCCTCCCACCAGGCCCCTCCTCCAACATTGGAGATTACAATTCGACATGAGATTTGGGCAGGGACACAAATCCAAACCATATCACTCAGTAAGTATCCTAGATAATGAAGAAATGAGTCAAAATAAAGCTCACAGGAGTGGTGGGAGAGGATGGTACAGGCGTTCCCCAGATGGAAGAGGAGACAGAAGACTAGAACCAAATGTTCCAAGGAGTGTGTTTGAAGAATGTAAATCATTCCATGGTAGGAGAACAGGTGGTGGGGGCTGAGGTGCGGGAGGAGGGGAAAGCAGGTTTGCAGTCAGATAATGAAGGCCTTGAATACCAGGTACAGCATTTGTTCTGTGTGTGAAGGCCAGAGGCAGGATCAGATGTGCACAGTCCTGAAAAATAAGTATGTTGGCAGTGTGGACAAGCGAATGCGCATGGTGACCCATGACACTTGCCAACCCCCTGAATTTGGCTCTGAGGGACTGGGAGGAGAGGGTAAAAGTGGGAACACAGTGGCTTCTGTCATTTTATTTTCAGATCTTAAAACCAACATCTTCTAGGAGCCACCTGGACCGCTTTTTAAATGAATAAAGCTGTAATTGGTAAACAGAGTGGTCTACTGCTTTGGGAGGTACCCAAGTCTGCCCCTCTACCACACAGGTGAAGGGAGAAGATCCCCAGCTTCCTGTCCTCTGGCAGCCACAGCACTCAAACCATTAAGGCCTCTGCCTGGGAGTCTGACTCATGGGAGTGGGCGAGGTAAATATGGAGCACATTCAGAACTGTGCATGGAAGTGGTTATCATGTCCGTTGTTGGGACCATCATTCCCCGCCAGGCTGAAATGTGATTTTCCACCCCAGCTTCGTGACCTACAACTGCTTTGATTCCTGCTCATTTCCAAACCTGTTCCTCCAGCTTTCTCTTGATCCTGTAAATACAATTATCCTCCCAATAGATTATTTAAAAAAAAATGTTTGCTAAAGACACAGTTTATTTTGCTTACAATGGGGAACCCTGGTAAAGTCAATGACTCTTGCTATAAAGCTGTGCCAAACTAAAGTTGTCTCTTTTATGCTACATAAGGCAGAACTGCAAGCTCCTAAATAACCGAAGTTCTTCTGTGAGAGAGATGGGCACCTCGGCTGAAAGTGCCCTTCTCTCTGGATGAGAATGCAGACTGAACTCTGAAATTCTCATAATCCAAAGACACTTTTCCTGCAACCAGGTGCTGACAATGAGGACTGTCCCTTTAACTGGCCACACTGAAGGCCTGCACAACAGGCCCTTTATAGAGAATCTTGTTGCAAAGGCTTCCAAGTGTGAGTTGTGAATCAATTGCAAAACACACCTGCCTGAGCCTTGAGGCAAACCATTGATATTTAATGGTCTAATGGTCATCCTCCACATTGAGGCCTGTCCCTGTATTAAAGCACCTGGACCAAGCTTTCTTAAGCTCATCCACCATATAAAATGCATTCTCCTCCAAATTATGATGGAGTCACACTGCCTTCATCTTTATAGAGGTTGCACACAAAATGCTGCTGGAACAATGAATGATGCCATTGCTGAGCAGCCATGTAGAGAGACCAGATTATCCCACTGAGCTTCGGTTCCACGTCTACACAATGGGAGGGAAAAACCTATATCTCAGAGAGATTGTGACACTCAGGTGAGCTAATGGATTTAACTGTAAAGACCTACACAGACATGCAAGAGTATAATTATGTCATTCCATGTCCTTCAACATGAGATCAAGTAATAAATTCCCTCTGCAATTTAATTCTAGGAAAACACTCTCTTTGCTAAAATAGGGATCCATGTGGTCCCTGCTCTCAGAAGAAAAGATAACATTGGCAGCCAGGGCTCTTTTACAGAAAGTGATGGAAACCCAAGTTGAAATAGTGTTAGGTCAAAAGGGGATTTATTGGCTCATGTGACCAGAAGAGGGCAGGGGTGAGCCTGGCCTTAGGAATGACTGGAACTGGGAAACAATTAATCGATCAATCCCTCTTTCATTCTGTTTCCCCTAGTCTCTCACGTTTGTGTCTCTCTGCATATCGCCTTTGTTCTCTCCATCTACACAAGCTTTCTCTGCATGCTGAAGAGCATGGCTCCAAACCCTTCAGACCCTCTTCAGCTTAGTAACCATAGAAGAAAAAGAATCTTCTTCTCCAGCTTCAAACTGAAACAGCCTGGGGATGAACTGAGATTGGTTCTGGGCCCAAACCAATGGTTTATTTCCTTTAGCCATGGAAATAATTTTGATGTGTAGCAGAGTGCCAATTGTCTCCCAATATCCATTTTCCCCTTCTAGCTGGAACCTCCATTTTTGGGCTGGTCATATTGCTGCCCAGTTAATACATTTCCCGACCTCCCTTGCAAATAGGTGTGGTCATGTGTTCAAGTTCTGATCAATGAGATGTAAGTAGAAGAGTTCAGAAGTATTTCTGGAAGCCCGTAAAAGGGAGAGATTGCTCTTTTATCCTCCTTCTCCTCCTTTCTATTGCTAGAAATGTGGATGCCATGGCTAGAACTCAGCAGCCATCCTGTACTGTGAAGTGGCTTTGGGGATGGAAGCTACATGTGGCAGAAGAACAAGACAGAAAGAGTCTGAGCCCCTGATACTATGTCTTTTCCTTACTTGTCTTGAACTGCCTCCTCTGCACACTTTTATGTGAGAGAAAAATATACCTTTATCTTGGTTTAGCCACTATTATGGAGGCTCTATTTGCAACCAAATCTAATATTAAGTGATATGCAACTCAGGTTAGGGGCAGAAGAAGGAGCTGGGGTGAAAACATCTCAAGAAACACAAAACAATAGCTGTGAGGGTGGCCCAGTGTCTCCCTTCCTGCCCTGGCCATTAGGAACCTCTCAGCTGTCTGGAGGTGTCCAGCCACCATGCTCCCTTCAGCCTCATTCTCTAATGTCCTCCTTTTCCATTCTGTGGTTAGTACCAATCCTGAGAAAAGTATAGCCAGGGTATAAAATAAGAACTACTTTCCAACAATGTACTTCACGAAGCCCTTGTCCCCTGAGGTGTTCTGGAGTAAAAACGGATTTATGGTCAACAATTTGGGGCGGGGTGGGGGGAGGATACTGCCTACTCCCCCATTAGAGATGCATAAAGCACATTAGCATATTAAAGGCTCTGAAAAGCCTTTAAGTTAAACCTAATTAATTTTCTTGAATACAGCTATTCCCCCAACTTTATTTTACTGTAGAAACCTTTCTCCCCATACAACACCTACTAACATCCTATAGGGAAAGATGCTTTGGGAAAGGTGGGATTAGATAAATAATCACAAAAGTATAGTAGCTGTGACCTTGGAAACTGCTTGGGTGAGCAGGTGTTTTAGCAGCATGGCTCCTGTTTAAACAATTACCCACCAGCCATGAGGATACATTTGGTGCTGGTTTTACTTGGATCAGGACATCCTAGCTGTGGCCAAGGTGGAGCCTTGACCTCCATTGTTCTAGACTCCATGTTTTAATGTATACAAAGGCAATCTATTTCCTTTGTCTCTGTTGTAGGAAGGTTAGGGACAGCTCCAAGTCTGTTTTTGGGTGGGATCGGTAATTGTTTAAACCCCGAAGAAGAGAAAGGATTCCTGTTTGCTGTTCCTGCAGGCTCAAACCTGCCTTTCGCATACAGACCAAAGACAGGATGAGACTCAAAGCAAGAGGCAGCCACATCAACATGGGAAGAGATGCTCTTTGTAGTCTTGGCCAGATGGAAGCCAGAGTCCCCCATGAGTTAGAACCCCCTCCAGTCACCTGAGAAATGTGAGCCTTGAATCTTATGGCCAAGCAGGCTGTCATTGCGTACTACAGATCCATGCAAGCAGATTTCCGTGGGTCTGCTGAAGTCTGGGGAACCTGTCCTGTAGACCGGGAGGAGGTTTCCTGTTATGTTTTTCCTGGCCTGGGAGCATGACTTGGGATTGCTGGCTGGTGTATCCCCTGCAAACTGACAGACCCAGGGCTGCCAAAGGGAGGGACTGAGGACAGAGTGAGGGGGAGAAATCCCCAAGGCCCGTCTGTGGGGAGAGTCCCGTTCCCTTCTGTCACAGAGACAGGCCAGCAGGCGCCTCCTGCTGCTCCAGCAAATCGAAAACCTCTCTCTCCTGCTATCCCCCAGATGCACAGACCCTTCGAGATCCATCCCAGACACAGCATGGACTGGCCTAAACCTGGTACACCAGCATTTCACTCCAGAGCTGTCCTTTCTTGCCTGTGTGGCCTCGGGAAAGTGCTTGACTTCCCCGGACCACAGAACATAGGTAATGAGGAGGATTAAATGAATGAGAGCTCCGCGTGAATACATCAATGGTGCGGCACGCGCTGTGGGGGATTCACATAGACATTTTAAAATGCTGCCCCTGCCTTGCGTCCAGCTTTTTCTGATTCTTCTAAAGTAAACTTTCATATTCCCAGGCCTTTCTTAAATATGACTTGGTTTATCAAGAAAGTGAGACTTTCTCACCCTTTCCACTGTGGACGTAAGACCCCTGTATCTGAAACTGAACTGAACGTAGCCATCAGAGATACTTCGGAGGCAATTTTGGAATCAGTTTTGATTAGTTCAAGAAGTTATTCTTGGACATGATCTCTGTGAATTATGTTTTCAGGGAAGTTGGGATTTTTTGTTTTGTTTTGTGTTGTGGTTTTTCATGAATGTGCTTCCATCTTAATTCGGCAAAAGATTATCCTGGACCAAGGGCAATTCATTCTCCTTTTGCTGTGGGGATTTCCAGAACAAAGAGATATCGAGTCCCAAACTGGACTGACTTCATAGATGGCAGAAGGAGAGAGAGCCAGCAGGATAGCAAGAAAGGGGGTGGGGAGAGAGAAAGAGAAAAGAGCACGCGCGCCAGCCTCAGACAATGAGTGGGGAGAGTTGAGAAGAGAAAAAGGGAGAGATTGGTTTTCAGATCTGTCCTGAACCTCTAAATTTTATTCATAGAAGTCAGAGCCAGCCTCGGTTGTAAAAGCAGCAGTTAACGTAACTAAGGCCTTCTGTCTGAGGCTTCCTCAAGCTCCTTGGTGGATCAGTGGCTTATGTGCTGTAGGAAAGAGATCAAGCCCTGTTTGAATACAGAAATTGCTTTCTCACCCTTTCTTGGTAATAAAATCCAGAAACAGAAACTGGCATGGGAGTAGGTTTCAGCATTCCTGTTGCACGGGACACTGACAGTTCTCCATTCTCCGATGTGGATCCCTCCTCCCCGTCCCCAGCACGGTCATATTTCTCAAATGCAAATGGAACCAGGGGACCTCTGCATTAAACCCTTTGAGCTCTCTTACTGCCACAGAAAGTGAAATCCACCCCTTGAGGACTGTCCCCTCAGTGTCTCACTGCAGATCCTGAAGGTCCCAGGGGAAGAAGACCCCTCCAAGCCTAAGCGCAGCAGGTCCCTGGCCCTGCCACACCTCTAGGGGATCCCACATCTACTCACCAGCCCCAGTACAGGTCAGGACATACAGGCCCATCAGGAACCCCAGAGAGGCCCAGACACTTTGAGGTCATTTAATGTGTAATACACATTAGCATAGCAACGGCTCTGAGAAGTCCTGCAGTGAAGTAACTTTGTTTAACTAGGCGCTTTCCATGCTTAGCTAACCCTGGACCACTTTCCCCGTGGAATACCCAGTAGCTCGTCAAGTAGCACTCCACAGAATGCTGTAAAACGATGGACAGGAGGCATCCACAGACATGTCCAGTCCCTCGAGAGAAAGTGTCTAATTCAGCTTTGGGGCCACAGAACCTAGCATGGGCCCTAGAAAAGAGTTTGTGTGGAATAAATAAACAAGCAAATTAATGAAATCATGCCATTGTTAACCCAGGCGGAACCTGGGAATTATAACTGCATGCCAAACACTATTTTCCAGGGCAACTAAGTCTGTGGCCAATGCATAGCTTTGTTGAGACCAAATCTCTTTTCTCCTCCCCACCCCTCAGCATTTGTACCAGTTAAAAACTGGCAGACCTTGAACCAGATCTGTCTAACATATGTGTTTTGTTTGGCCAGATCAGGGTTTTTGTTATTTTTTAATGCCATTAGGTAAGGGCTGAGCTCTGCAGCACAGCCAGACTCTGCCTCTCCCTGTCCTACCCCAACCTCTTCCCACATTCGCATCACCTGCTTAGCTCCCGAAGGCTTTGAGTTTGCCATCCTGGGTTTAAATCTCCCTGGGAAGTTGCTTTTTCTCTCTGCCCATAAACATCATGAATTTATTTTGAAATGGATTTGCCCAGATGAAATCACACAGATCTTTAAACCTTAGACTGTTTGCAATGAAATATTTACACAGCCAAACGTGGCACAGGCCCCGGCACACTTAAGGTGACTCTCTGAGCCAATATACTGATGAGGAGATGGGGATGGTCTCATCCATATGCTCATCTTCCCAGAGCTTCTTAAGCTTTAGTGGGCATTGAAGTCACCAGAAAGCTTGTGGAAATCCACATTGCTGGGCTCCACCCCCAGAGCTTCAGGACCAGTAGGTCTACATTATTCCTGAATTCCTAGGTAATGCTATGGCTGATGGCCCAGGGACCACACTTTGAGATTTGCTCCCCTACTGCTTACCAAGCTCTTTCACAATGGGCATCTTATTAGACCCCAACAACCAACCTAGGAGGTGAACAAGGCATGAATAACCACTCGCAGTTCACAACTGTCACAAGATGACTCAGAGAGGTTAACCAATAACACAAGGTCACACAGCTTGATATGAATTGAGGTCTTTTAGTGCCAAGTCCAGCTTCCTGCCAGCAAGGCTGTGGTTGAAAGAGGCTGTCTGACATCACTGTTTAGGACAAGGGAACTGGACCCGTGAACGACAGAGCCAGCATTTCAGGAAGTTACTTTCTGCCACAGAGACCTCTACTTCCAAGGCAGGAGCTGACAGCCTCCCTCTGTTCCTCTCAGCTCTAGGACTCCACACTGTGGCCCTATGTGGACAAGAAGGAAGAGGTTCCAAAGGAGCCCAGAACGCCCCACCCCCAATATTTGCCCCCATAGTGGTCCCAGGCAAGGCAGGAGAGGAGCAGAGATGCCTGCTCACTAGAGTCAAGACATCCCTTGCTGAATTTTCCATGTAGCAACCAAAGCAGAGTGAGAGACAGGCACAGACTGCAGCTTCTGGGAGGGAGATAGAGGGGGGCACAGACCATATGGAGCAAGAGTGACAGAATTTGGCAGTGCGGCCTCCACAGATGGGCCTGCTTATGTCCAGACACAAGCTGAGGCCAAGGACTGAATCATCTCTCTAGCAATTTCTTGTTTCCAAACACGTCTTTTGAAGAATGTGGGGATGCTGGGAGCACACATCAGAAGCCCTTGCTGGGAAAGGATAGAGAGACAACAGGAAAGAGAAGTTGCTTTTGCAGGGGGGCCACAGGTGTGGATGGAAGGACAATGAAGGGACCCAACATGTCCACCTGATGGGGTGGAAGTCACTGGATAGTGAGAGGGGAGCATGGAGGTTTGGGCAGCACAAGGAGGTCCATATCAAGGGTGTTGGGTGTGTTTTCTGGGGTGAGCCCCACAACTCTACAATGGAGTTAGCACCACCACCAAGCCCCACTGAACAGGAGAAAGACTGAGATTATAGATGGTAAGTGATTTGCTCAAGGGCTCCCAGCTGGCAAGGGCAGAGTCATGAGTGAGTGAACTGAGCATTCACACCTATCTGAGGACCCTCCCTCCCACCCTGAGCTAAGATTCTTATATTAGTCTCCTAGGTGCTCCTTGCGCCCCATCCCCCTGGCATGGCCTTCCAATAAGTTACTGGGTCCCCACTAGGGCTCCCCAGAATCTGTCTTCAGGATAAAGGCTGGGCGGCTCTGTCTGGCCGATATGGTTTGGCTTTGTCCCCACCCAAATCTCATCTTGAATTATAGCTCCCATAATCCCCATGTGTCATGGGAGGGACCTGGTGGGAGGTAATGGAATCATGGGGGACAGTTTTCCTGTGCTGTTCTCATGATAGTGAATAAGTCTCAGGAGATCTGATGGGTTTATAAAGGGCAGTTCCCCCGCACATGCTCTCGTCTGCCACCATGTAAGAGGTGCCAATGTTCCTCCATCTTCCGCCATGATTGTGAGGCCTCCCCAGCCATGCAGAACTGTGAGATCATTAAACCTCTTTTTCTTTATCAATTACCCAGTCTTGGGTATATCCTTATTGGCAGACTAATACACTGGCACTCGAGGCCCTGTGAGGCCAGGCTCTCGCCTGCCTTTCCAGCCTCATGAGCTTCACTAGCTGTGTGTCCTGGGACTTGCCATCCCCTGTACACATTCAGTGCTGCCCAGCTCTAGTCTTGAATGGGGGCCCAACAGTCACATCTCCCTGTAGCTTTTCCACTTTATGTTATCTTTCCTCATGCCTGTGTCTTTTCTCTCATTTAAATATCTGGTCTTCGAGCACTACGAACTTCTTCCCTGTGTTAGTCTGTTTTTGCATCACTATAAAGGAACAACTGAGACTGGGCAATTTATAAAGAAAAGAGGTTTAATCGGCTCATGGTTTTGCAGGCTATACAGGAAGTGTAGTGAGAGCCTCGGCAAATTTCCAATTATGATGGAAGGCAAACGGGGAGCAGCCATATCATATGGTGGGAGCAGGAGCAAGAGAGAGAGTGGGGAGGTGCCACACTCTTTTAAACAATCAGATCTCACTAAACTGAGTGAGAACTGAGAACTCACTCATCAGCAAGCCATTCATGAGGGATCCACCCATGTGACTCAAACACCTTCCCTACCAGGTACCACCTCCAACATTGGAGGTCACATTTCAACATGAAATGTTTGGAGGGGACAAACATTTAAAGCATGTCACCCCCCTGCACCATGAATATCCTTTCCACATGTGCACCACATTATGGCTTGCAGAATGCTGTCCCCCTGCAAGGTGTCATACGGGGTGGGTATTAGCCCCTTTGCAGACTGAGACCAGAGAAGCAGAGGGAGATGCCCAAGGTCTCACAGGTAGTTGACAAAGCTGCAGAGACTGAGGCCCAGGTTTCCAGGCTTCAGGTCCAGTGCTCTTTCCACTGTGCCTGGGTTTGGGGGAAAGGTGACTTTATGGGCTTGAGAAAAAACCACCCACCCACAGAGAGATGGTGCCCATGTCGGGGAGGGCAACTGTTATAGTTTCCTATTGCTGCTAGAACAAACTTCATGAAGTCAGTGGCTTAAACAACACAAATGTATTATCTTAAACTTCCAGAGGATAGACATCCAACATGAGTTTCAGTGGGCTCAAGTCAAAGTGCTGGCAGGGCAGCATTCCCTTCTGGAAGCTCTAGAAAAGACTCCATTCTGGAAGCTCTAGAAGAGACTCCATATCTTGTCTTTTCCAGCTTCCAAAGGCCGTCTATATTCCTTGGCTCATGGCCTCTTCCTTCAATTTTAAAGCCAGCAATCATGGATCAGGTCCTCCTCAGATCCATGGATCACATCACTCTAACCTCCTCTTCCACCTCCCTCTCCCACATCTAAAGGACCCTGGTGATTCCACTGGGCCCACCCAGATAATCCAGGATAACCCCCTTGTTTAAAGGTCAGCTGATTAGCAACCTTAATTCCATCTGCAACCTTAATTTCCTTTTGCCATGCAACCTGACATATTCACCAATTCTGAAGATGAGGGCATAGATATCTCTCGAGACATTCTTTTGACTACCACAGAGGCAAAGAGCAGATTCCTGCCCGCAGAGCCTGTCAATGTGATCACTTGGCAGAGAAGGTGACTCAGGCCTGGACCAGATGTCCAAATGTCCTTGGAGAGCAAGGGCAAACTCTGGAGAGCACATGGACAAGCACCGTGGCTTCTGATAGTCCAGCCCTTCAAAGCCTGGAGCAAGCTCTCCAGCTGCCCAGGGGTACTGAGGCTACCCCACTCGAAGGCATTAGGTGCTTTCCAATGAGTTTCCCTTATCTTATTCATCTCTTCATCAACTGCCAGATACACTACCCCTCTAACTAATATCAGAACATGGCAATATCTCCAACCAAATCCATCTATCACTCCCTTACTCCCACCCCTAGACTCCTTGAGGTCTAACCCACTAAAAATGGGAATTGGATCACTTAGAATTGAATCTAAACTTCTTATCAAGGCCTTCGGGGGTCCTCTGGCCTCAAGCAATCGTCCTCTTGTTCACAGAGCTCCAGGAAGACTTGCTTCCTTTCCATCACTTACACAGCACACAGCTTCCTGCCTCAGGGCCTTTGCATACATGGTTTCCTCTTCCTGTGACTCTCTTTTTTCTATCCTTCCCTTGGCTGATTCTTGCTCAGCCTTTAGGTCTCAGCCCAAATGTTGGTTTTTCAGAGGACACTTTTCTGACACCTGTCCCCCACCCCAGTTGCGTCTCCTATGCCATTGTCTCTCCATGGGAACCTAACTCTTTACCTTCATGGCAGCTATTTATAGTCATTGTCTCTGCTATTGTTCAGAACAGGACACACTTGGGCTCTGATGCTGCAGGACGGTCATCCTTTGAATAAAAAACTTCAGGATTAAAATGTGCCAAATTCTGCAATTTCATCCTCTCTTTTCGACGACCAGGAATGAGTTCAGCCTTCAAAGCACAGCTCCTGTAGGCTGATTTTTCTTATGGGCTTTGAGGTTGGACAGACTCACTCTCTGCTTCCTACTCCACCAACTGGCTGAGTGGCCCTGTGCAAGTAAGTCACTGTGCCTCTCAGGGCCAATGGCTCTGCTTTACCCAGCTGACTTTGGCCCAGGAGGGTGGCAGAGAGGCCTTCACCAGTAGGTGACAGGAGGTCCAGAGGCCATTCAGTCAGAATCCAACACCCAACAG